>NW_025791816.1:0-68810 GCF_000001405.40 Homo sapiens
TGTCTTTATTTCTTGCAGGAGTGAGGTATCACATTACGGTTTTGATTCTCATTTCCCTGATAATTAGTGATAAGGATTTTTCCATTGCCTGTTGGCCATTTGCATATCTTCTTTTGAGAATTGTCTATTTATGTTCTTAGCCTACTTTTTGATTTCTTTTTTCTTACTAATTTGTTTGAGTTTGTTGTAGATTCTGGATATTTGTCCTTTGTCCCCTAGTACCAGCCTAGAGTTTGGTAGCTGTGCTGGGTGACTAGACCCAGAAAAGCAAAAACAATCATTGCAGTTTGGCTCTCAGGAAGCACCATTCCTAGGGGAAGGAGAAGAACACCACATCAAGGGAGCACCCCGTGGGACCAAAAAGTCTGAAAAGCAGCCCTTGAATCCCAACCTTCCCTCTAACATAGTCTAACCAAATAGGAAGGAACCAGAAAAGAATTCTGGTAATATGACAAAACAAGATTCTTTAATACCCCCAAAAGATCATGCCAGCTCACCAGCAATGGATCCAAACCAAGATAAACTATTGGAATTTACAGGAAAAGAATTCAGAAGGCTGATTATTAAGCTAATCAAGGAAGCAGCAGAGAAAAGTGAAGTCCAACTTAAAGAAATTGAAATCACGATACTGGATATGAAAGGAAAATTCTTCAGTGAAAAAGATAGAATAAACAAAAAACAATCACAACTTCTGGAAATCAAGGGCACACATAGAGAAAAGCAAAATGTACTGGAGAATCTCAGCAACAGAATCAAATAAGCAAAAGAAACAGTTTCAGAGCTTGAAGACAAGGCTTTTGAATTAACCCAATCCATCAAAGACAAAAAAAAAAAAAAAAGAATTAAAACAAAAATGAAAAAGGCCTCCAAGAAGTTTGAGACTATGTTAAACATCCAAATCTAAGAATAATTGGTGTTCCTAAGGAAGATATCTAAAAGTTTTGAAAACATATTTTAGGTCATAATCAAGGAAACCTTCCCTGGCCTTGCTAGAGATCTAGACATCCAAATCCAAGAAGCTCAAAGAACTCCTGGGAAATTCATTGCAAAAAGATCATCACCTAGGCACATAGTCATCAGATTATCTAAAGTCAAGACAAAGTAAAAAAAATCATGTAACCTGTAAAGGAAAACCTAGCAGATTAACAGCAGATTTCTCAGCAGAAACCCTACAGGCTACAAGGGATTGGGGTCCTATTGTTAGCCTTCTTAAACAAAACAATTATCAGCCAAGAATTTTGTATCCAGAAAAACTAAACTTCATAAATGAAGGAAAGAGACAGTCTTCTCCAGACAAACAAATGCTGAGAGAATTTGCCACTACCAAGCCAGCACTGCAAGAACTGCAAAAAGGAGCTGTAAATCTTGACACAAATTCTCAAAATACACCAAAATAGAACCTCCTTAAAGCATAAGTTTCACAGGACCTATATAACAATAACACAATGAAGAAAAAACAAGTTATTCAGGCAACAAATAGCACAATAAATAGAATAGCACCTCACATCTCAATACTCACATTGAATGTAAATGGCCTAAATGCTCCACTTAACAGATACAGAATGGCAGAATGGATAAGAATTCACCAACCAAGTTTCTGCTGTCTTCAGGAGACATTATATAATGATAAAAGGACCAGTCCAACAAGAAAATATCACAGTCCTAAATATATATGCACCTAACGCTGGAGCTTCCAAATTTATTAACCTATTATTGCTAGACTTATGAGATAGATGACAACACAATAATAGTGGGGACTTTAATAGTCCCCTGACAGCACTAGACTGGTTATCAAGACAGAAAGTCAACAAAGAAACAATGGACTTCAACTATACCCTACAACAAATAGACTTAACAGATATTTAAAGAACATTCTATCCAACAACTGCAGAATACACATTCTACTCATCAGCACATGGAACATTCTCCAAGATAGAGCATCTGATAGGCTATAAAACAAGACTTAGTACATTTTTAAAAATTGAAGCTATATCAAGTACTCTCCCAGACCACAGTGGAATAAAATTGGAAATAAACTCCAAAAGGAACTCTCAAAACCATGCAAATGCATGGAAATTAAATAACCTGCTCCTGAATAATCATTGGGCCAACAATGAAATCAAGATGGAAATTAAAATTTTTTGACTGAATGATAATAGTGACACAACCCGTGGGATACAGCGAACAGAGGATATGTAACCTCTGGGATACAGGAAAAGTGGTGCAAAGAGGAAAGTTCATAGCATTAAATGCCTATATCAAAAAGTCTGAAAGAGCACAAATAGTTTAAGGGCACACCTCTCAGAACTGGAGAAACAAGAACAAACCAAACCAAAATCCAGCAGAATAAAAAAAATAACAGATCAAAGCACAACTAAATGAAATTGAAACAGAAAAATACAAAAGATACATGAAACAAAAAGCTCTTTCTTTACAAAGACTAATAAAATTGATAGATCATTAATGAGATTAACCTAGAAAATTCACACAGTTTCAGGATACAAAATTAATGTACACAAATCGGTCACTCTGCTATACACCACCAGTGACCAAGATGAGAATCAAATCAAGCTGAAATCCAGCTATTGTGAAATCAGCTTTCACAGTAGCTGAAAAAAAAAACTTATGAATATACCTAACCAAGGATGTGAACAACCTCTACAAGGAAAACTTCTTTAATCTACTTAGGTCTCTCTTCTACCCTCATAAACAGAAAGATTATAACCCTGGTTATTTTTATTTGTAGCTGACTGAAATGTTCTTGTTTATTTAAAAAAATTTAACCTATCTTGAGTATATTTGTTTTAGGTATATCTCTTGAGTTAACCCATTTACTTGTATTTAATACGATTCATTTATTTAGTTATTTAGGCTCAATTCTGTCATAACTTCTAGAAATGTAAATTTCTTATATATACACACACATCTGTATGTATTCAAAATGAATAGAGAGGTGGGGATATTTGACATCAAGAGATGATTCACATAAGAAAACAGTAATATAAGCATAAACTTTCTAAAATATGCAAAATTACAATAGCTAAAGAGTGAAAAGGGGAGATACTGAAAATTACACATAATGTTTCAATTTTGCAAAACACATATGTATACACATTGTTGTATGCATATAAAGACAACATAATGGAAGGAAATGCCAGATATAATATATTTTTTGAAAATAATGTGTGGTAGAGTTGTTGGTTGATCACAAATTTAATTCTGGACTTGACTATGTTTCCCATATTTGCTAAATTAGTATGGACTCTTTTTAAAATTACAGTTAAAGCTTATAAAAACATTGTTATTAAATATTTCAGACATACAAAAAGTTATGGAAGATAATATAATAGGCTTCTATATATTAGAATTAAGAAATAAAACATTACATATGCTGTTGAAACTCTCTTTGAAGTTTTCTCTGATTACATTAGACTTCTTCTTCCCCAGGGGTAACCACTATCAAGAATTTGGATTTCTCATTCTTAAGACCATTCTTCATACTTTTATTACATATATATGTTCATAAGTGAAAAACAGTATTGTTTTATTGCATGTATTTATCTATAAATGCCTGGCTATATGAGGGAAAAGAGGAAGAAAAAATGCATGGAGGACAAATACACATTCACTTGTGGGAGGAACCCGGTGGGAGATAATTGAACCATGGGTGCAGTTTCCCCCACATTTTTCCCATGGTAGTGAATAAGTCTCATGAGATCTGATGGTTTTTTAAGAGGTTCCCCTTTTGCTTGGTTGTCATTCTCCCTTGCCTGCCATTATGTAAGACTGACTTGCCTTTTGCCTTCTGTTCTGCCATGATTGTGAGGCCTCCTCAGCCACGTGGAATTATGAGTCCATTATACCTGTTTTTTTTTTTCAGTAAATTACCCAGTCCTGGATATGTCTTTAACAGCAGTGTGAGAACAGACCAGTACAGTAAATTGGTATGGGAGTGGGGCACTGCTGTAAAGATTCCTGAAAATGTGGAAGCGAATTTGGAACTGGGTAACAGGCAGAGGTTGGAACAGTTTGGAGGGCTCAGAATAAGACGGGAAAATGTGGGAAAGTTTGAAACTCCCTAGAGACTTGTTGAATGGTTTTGACCAAAATGCTGATAAAGATATGGACAATGAAATCCATGCCAAGGTGGTCTCAGATGGAGATGAGGAACTTGTTAGGAACTGGAGTAAAGGTGATTCCTACTATGTTTTAGCCAAGAAACTGGTGGCAGTTGGCCAGGTGTGGTGGCTTACGCCTGTAATCCCAGCACTTTGGGAGGCCGAGGCAGGCAGATCATGAAGTCAGGAGATCGAGACCATCCTGTCTAACACGGTGAAACCCCGTCTCTACTAAAAATACAAAAAAATTAACCAGGCTTGGTGGTGGGTACCTGTAGTCCCAGCTACTTGGGAGGCTGAGGCAGGAGAATGGCATGAACCTGGGAGGCGGAGCTTGCAGTGAGCCAAGATTGCACCACTGCACTCCAGTCTGGGCGACAGAGTGAGACTCCATCTCAAAAAAAAAAAAAAGAAAAAGAAAAAAGAAAAAGAAAAAAAAGAAAAAAAGAGAGACTGGTGGCAGTTTGCCCCTGCCCTAGAGATCTGTGGAACTTTGAACTTGAGGGAGATAATTTAGGGTATTTGTTGGAAGAAATTTCTAAGCAGCAAAGCATTCAAGAGTTCACTTGGGTGCTGTTAAAAGCAGTTTGGTTTAAAAGGGAAACAGAGCATAAAAATTTGGAAAATTTGCAGCCTGAAAATACAATAGTAAAGAAAATCCCATTCTCTGAGGAGAAATTCAAGCCAGCTGCAGAAATTTGCGTAAGTAACAAGAAGCCAAATGTTAATCTCCAAGACGGTGGGGAAAATGTCTCCAGGGCAAGTCAGAGAACTTTGAGGCAGCCCCTTGCATCACAGGCCCAGAGGCCCAGGAGAAAAAATGGTTTCCTGGGCCAGGTCCAGGGTCCCCTGCTGTGTGTTGCCTAAGGACTTGGTGCCCTGAGCCCCAGCCATTCTAGCCATTGCTAAAAGGGGCTAAGGTACAGCTTGGGCCATGGCTTCAGAGGATACAAGCTCCAAGCCTTGGCAGCATCCTTGTGGTGTTGAGCCTGAGGGTGCACAGAAGTCAAGAATTGACTTTGGGAACCTCTGCCTAGATTTCAGAGGATGGACAGAAATGCCTGGGTGTTCAGGAAGGAGTTTGCTGCAGTGGAAGGACCCTCATAGAGAACCTCTGCTAGGGCAGTGCAGAAGGAAATGTGGGGTTGAAGTCCTCACACAGTCTCCACTGGGGCACTGCCTAGTGGAGCTGTGAGAAGAGGGCCACCATCCTCCAGACCCCAGAATAGTAGATTCACTGACAGCTTGCACCATGCAACTGAAAACAGACACTCAACACCAGCCCATGAAAGCAGCTAGGAGGTAGGCTTTACCCTGCAAAGCCACAGGGGTGGAGGTGCTCAAGACTATGGGAACACACCTCTTGCATCAGCATGACCTGGATGTGAGACATGGAGTCCAAGGAGATCATTTTGGAGCTTTAAAATTTGACTGCCCCACTGGATTTCAGACTTGCCTGGGGCCTTTAGCCCCTTTTTTTTGCTAATGCTGAAATGAGCTAAAACTTTGGGGGACTGTTGGGAAGGCATGATTGGTTTTGAAATGGGAGGACATAAGATTTGGGAGGGGCTGGGGCAGAGTGATATTGTTTGGCTCTGCGTCCCCACCCAACTCTCATCTTGAATTACACCTCCCATAATTCCCACATGTTGTGGGAAGGACCTGGTGGGAGATAATTGAATCATGGGGGCAGTTTCCCCCATACTGCTCTCATGGTAGTGAATATGTCTTATGAGATCTGATGGATTTATAAGGGGTTCCCCTTTTGCTTGGTTCTCATTCTCTCTTGTCTGCCACCATGTAAGATGTAACTTTTACCTTCCACTATGACTGTGAAGTTTTCCCAGCCATACAAATCTGTTAGTCCATTAAACCTATTTTTTTAAATAAATTACCCAGTCTTGGGTATGTCTTTATCAGCAGCATGAGAACAGACTAATACACCTTCCTTGCAATATGTATCTTCTTTCAGAGCTTCTAAATTGGACACACCAATTTTCTCAGTTTATATGCTCTAGGAAACACTGACAGAATCTGCAAATACCATTTTTGCCACTTTGTTCCCTGATGCATTCAAAGCCTTACAATTTCTCTGGTTCCAGCTATACCAAAACAATGTCTCAGGAAATCCTGAATGTGAAACATTTTCCCATTTGTCTGGGCCTAATATTCTGTCTTTTACTCACACTATTACTCATCTACACCTGTACATCCATAATCCAATTTGGACCATGCTAGTGAAAGAAGACAACACTTTCTGTGAGTTTGTTTTAATGTGTCCAGACACAAATACCTTTCTTGGTTTAGGGATGCATCCCATTCAGAACATGATCTGATTTTGTATTACAGTTGCTGGGCATGCATGTATTTTCCTTTCCTTTTTTTTTTTAATTTTATTTTATTATACTTTAAGTTTTAGGGTACATGTGCACAATGTGCAGGTTAGTTACATATGTATACATGTGCCATGCTGGTGTGCCGCACCCATTAACTCGTCATTTAGCATTAGGTATATCTCCTAATGCTATCCCTCCCCCCTCCCCACACCCCACAACAGTCCCCAGACTGTGATGTTCCCCTTCCTGTGTCCATGTGTTCTCATTGTTCAATTCCCACCTATGAGTGAGAATATGCGGTGTTTGGTTTTTTGTCCTTGCGATAGTTTACTGAGAATGATGATTTCCAGTTTCATCCATGTCCCTACAAAGGACATGAACTCATCATTTTTTATGGCTGCATAGTATTTCATGGTGTATATGTGCCACATTTTCTTAATCCAGTCTATCATTGTTGGACATTTGGGTTGGTTCCAAGTCTTTGCTATTGTGAATAGTGCCGCAATAAACATATGTGTGCATGTGTCTTTATAGCAGCATGATTTATAGTCCTTTGGGTATATACCCAGTAATGGGATGGCTGGGTCAAATGGTATTTCTAGTTCTAGATCCCTGAGGAATCGCCACACTGACTTCCACAATGGTTGAACTAGTTTACAGTCCCACCAACAGTGTAAAAGTGTTCCTATTTCTCCACATCCTCTCCAGCACCTGTTGTTTCCTGACATTTTAATGATTGCCATTCTAACTGGTATGAGATGGTATCTCATTGTGGTTTTGATTTGCATTTCTCTGATGGCCATTTAATAAATGGTGCTGGGAAAACTGGCTAGCCATATGTAGAAAGCTGAAACTGGATCCCTTCCTTACACCTTATACAAAAATTAATTCAAGATGGATTAAAGATTTAAATGTTAGACCTAAAACCATAAAAACCCTAGAAGAAAACCTAGGCATTACCATTCAGGACATAGGCATGGGCAAGGACTTCATGTCTAAAACACCAAAAGCAATGGCAACAAAAGCCAAAATTGACAAATGGGATCTAATTAAACTAAAGAGCTTCTGCACAGCAAAAGAAACTACCATCAGAGTGAGCAGGCAACCTAGAAAACGGGAGAAAATTTTCACAACCTACTCATCTGACAAAGGGCTAATATCCAGAATCTACAATGAACTCAAACAAATTTACAAGAAAAAACAAACAACCCCATCAAAAAGTGGGCGAAGGACATGAACAGACACTTCTCAAAAGAAGACATTTATGCATCCAAAAAACACATGAAAAAATGCTCACCTTTTATTGTTTTTAATTGCACAAGGAAGGTGCTTCAAAGATGTTTTAATTCACATGTGCTGATTGATCCTGGGACCTGGGCTGAATGAGACTGAATGAGCAGGGCCTGAATCCTTCTGTGTCAGTATTCTCCCCTGTGGAAACTGTAGTGCTAAACCCTGGGTAGTTTCCTGCAGTCCCTTCCTCTTTACCTCCCTGGTAGCATTCACAACTTAGCTAAGTAGGTGAGTAAACAGAGGAGCCTACTGTGAGTTCAAGGGGCTTCATTTGGGAGAGTGCAGAGAGAAGTGTGCTGTGAAACTACTTTCATCTCATGACTTTCACTAAAATCTTGGGACGTGAAGACATGGTCTGACTTACAAATATAAGGTTCACCTGAGAGACAGCTTGCCCTTCCCTTAGCCTTCTGTAATTTCCCTGAAGCTTCTCAATTTAGACTGTCATGTGAGTATATTCATACATTTGTTCTGTGATGACCCTATTACTTGATTTTCTTTGAGTAGGGATGTTCCCCTTTTGGATGCTGAGCCACTTTTTTAAGGTAAAGGTCAGGGATTTTTATTTATTCTTATTATATTTTCACTTCCAAAGCCAAGATATTGTCACTATAGATAAAAATGAAATACGTAAGAAAAAATATAGAGATATATATTTTTTAGAAATTCTACTATGCAGATATAAACACCTATATTTAAGAGTAGCAATTAGATGATATCCTATTTACAGATCTATAAACTGATTTATTTAGACCAACATCATATTATGAAACTCAACACATGCCGATAAATACAAATATACATAATTAAAATGGCAATAGAGGTATAACAAGTCCCTGGCGGATTCAGAGGCCTGGATGGTCGGGCTGCCCCTGTTGTGGGTACAGGCCCCAGCTCTCTCCCTGGCAGCAGCAGCCCTGTTGTGGAGGCAGCTGTGGCTGCCACACACCCTGCCAGGTTCTGGTTGCCTGGCCCTGGGAGCTGTTGTGGTGGGCCAGAACAACACCCACATCACAGGATTAATTTATTTTTCTCCCTCCCCTCTCTTCAAGTGGAAGAAAGGAGTCTTTTTTAGAGTCATGAGCTGTGCAGCCTCGGGTCAGGGGACGAGTGACGCCAGCAGTCCCCAGGCTGCCCCAGCTGGTGTCTCAGCAGTTCACATACCTCACCAGTTTACTGTCTCTGGGTATAGCTCAGCACTAGGACTCACCTAAGAGTTGCAGTCTTTATGGCCTAGGTTGCCTTTTAAACTTATTTGGAAACCCAGAGTGCTGAAGGCACTCAAGTCTGACCATTAGGATGGGTGATTCCCCTCTGGCTCAGGCTTACATGGCACATGTATACATATGTAACAAACCTGCACGTTGTGCACATGTACCCTAGAACTTAAAGTCTAATTTTATATATAGATAGATAGATAGATAGATAGATAGATAGATAGATAGATAGATGGATAGATAGATAGATATATAGATATATATGTTGTGCACATGTACCCTAGAACTTAAAGTCTAATTATATATATATATGTGTAATAAATGCTCCCTCTGTGGGCAGTTGTCAACTGAGTTTGCTCTGGTTTTCCTTTCTGCTCTAACAGTGCAAAACTGAGTTTGATGCCTCACAATTGCTGTGTACTCTGTGCCCCAGCAGCCAGAGATGCTCTCTGCACCATGGCACCACTGCAGGGCATGGGGGAGAAGTGACATTGGCAATTCAGGGCTGTTTTTTCTATCTCTTCAGTGCCTCTTTCAGCAATATGAAGAGAAAACCAGGTACTATGAGTGCTCACCTGATATTTTGTTCTTATGAAGGTGTTCTTCTGTGTACATAGTTGTATAACTTAGTATCCTTGTGAGGGAAGACAATTGGTGGAGCTTTCTATTCTGCCATCTTGCTCTGCTTCTCTCCACTTCTGCGTTTTTAAATGCATTCATTTTACTATTGATTTTGCATAAGAGGTAGAAATAAAAAATGAAAATTCAAGTGAAAGTCTTTTTATCTATTAATGCAACTATATTAGAATAAGAACTTAAATTTTGTCATAGGTGATAAATAATTAAAACTATTTAGAGGCTTTGAGTTTCAATTTTTAAATTATTAGTGAGCTAGAATATTTTCCTGTGATAATTATCCATTTGCATTTCTTCCTTTATGCACTGTTTACATATTTTGTCCTTTTTCCCATTTTGTTATAGGGGCTCTTAATGCATTAAGGCTAATACCTTTCACTGATTGATAGATCAATTATTTCAACAGATATTTATTGGGTGTAGATTATTTTCCAGACACTCCAGCTATCATCTGTATCCCAGATCTTTCTTTTGGGATCTAGATGCTTATATTTACTGGAAATGTCCACTTGGATAAATAAAAGTATTGAAAATCATCCATACATGCATGAATTGTCAAGAACATCATACATAGTTCAAAAACATTTGTCCCTGTTTTAGAAGGTTAAATGGATTTTTTTTTGAGACAGGGTCTCATTCTGTTGCCCAGTTGGAGTGCAGTGGTGCAATCATGGCTCACTGCAACCTCGACCACAGGGGCTCAAGTGATGCTCCCACCTCAGCCTCCTGAGTAACTGGAATTATAGGTGCACACCACCATGCCTAGGTAAATTTTGTAGATATGGGGTTTCACCATGCTGCCCAGGCTGGTCTCAAGCTCATAGACTCAAGCTATTCTCCCACCTCAGCCTCCCAAATTGTTGGGATTACAGGCATGAGCCACTGCATCTGGCCGAAATTAAAATGTTTAATAAAAAGGAAATGTACAAGTTTTCATTAGGTATTTGTCATTTCTTTGTCATTTCTATGTGCTGAAGTAATTTCTCAGATAATTTAGAAAAAAATGAAGCAACCGGCAGGCAACTCTTGCTAGAGTCTCTGGCACAGCAGTCTTGCATCCGTGTGAACCCAGCCAGATGGTGCAGCCTCCTGTTTCCCAGGAAAGCCCCAAATGGCAGGGTTTGTGAGCCCACCCACCTCCACCATTAGTAGTCAGGCAGGCAACACTTGCTAAAGTTTCTTGCTCAGTGGCCCTGCTTCTGTCTGAACTCAGCCACCAGGCACAGTTTCTTGTTGTCCTGGGAACAACACAGTCTTTTGTTGTCCTGGGGAAACCCTGCTCACCTGTGCTGCTGGTATCCAGGTGGGCAATGCCTGCTAGAGTTTCCAGCCTAGGAGTCCCACTTCTGCCTGAACTCGGCTGGTGAGTGCAGCTTCCCGTTGTACCAGGAGGCACCTGGATGACAGGGTAGGTGACCCCACCCATCCCCACCACTGGTAGCCAGGCAGACAAAGCCTGCTAGAACTTCTGGCCCAGTGGTCCACTTCTGTGGGAACTCAGCCAGCAGGTGCAGCCTCCTGTTGCCCCAGGAAGCACCTGGACTGCAGCCAGGTGACCCCACCCTACCCCCCACCACTGGTAGCTAGGTGGGAAATGCCTGCTAGAAATTTCAAGTCCAGTACTTTTGCTTCTGCCTGAACTCTGCAAGCAGGTGCAATCCCATGTCCCCTGGGAAGCACTCAGGCAGCAAGTTATAGCTGAACCAGCAAGTATATGGCCTGTCTGCTAACTGCAGCCCCTGCCTAGACCGGAACACCCAACAGAGGAAACAGGGGCACAAAGAGAGTAATCAGAAAGGGTTCCTGCAAGACCCAGGAGTGGACTAGAATTGAAGCCAGTTGACTGAACCCACCATATACCACAATCAAAACCTCAAGGGCATCAAAGAAGATAAAAGCAAAATTAAAAAAATTCCAAAGGACAACAACTCCAAAAATTGGAGGAACATCAGCCCACACAGATGAGAAAGAACCAGCACAAAAATTCTGGCAACTCAAAAAGCTAGTTCTTCTTACTCCAAATGACCCCACTAGTACCCTAGCAATGGTTATTAACCAGAAAGAAATACTAAAATGTCAGAAATAGAGTTCCGGCATATGAATAGCAATGAAGATCATTGACGTTCAGTAGAAAGTCAAAACTCAATCCAAGGAATATAAGGAACACAATAAAACAATACAGGAGATAAAAGATGAAATGGCCATTTTAAGAAAGAACCAAACTAAACTTATAGGGCTGAAAAACTCACTTCAAAAACTGTGTAATACAATCATCAGTGTTAACAGCAGAATTGACCAAGCTGAGAAAAGAATCTCAGAGCTTTAAGGCTGGTTCTCCAAAAAACTCAGTCAAGCAAAAAGAAAGAAAAAGCAATAATGAAGAATGAACAAAGCCTCCACGAAATATGGAATTACATTAAGAGAACAAATATATAAATCATTGGTATCCATGAAAGAGAGGGAGAGAAAGCAAGCAACTTGGAAAACATATTTGAGGATATCAACCACAAAAATTTTCCCGACTTCACTAGAGAGGCCAGCATTCAAATTCAGGAAATGCAGAGAACCCCTGTGAGAAACTATACAAGATGATTATTTGCAAGACACATAGCCATCAGATTGTCTAAGGTTGAAATAAAATAAAAAATGTTAAAGGCAGCTAGAGAGAATGGGCAGGTCATCTACAAAGGAAACCCCACCAAGCTAACGTGGACCTTTCAGCAGAAACCCTAGAAACCAGAAGATATTAGGGGCCTATACTCAGCATTCTTAAAGGAAAGAAATTTCAACCAAGAATTTTATATCCAGCCAAACTAAGCTTCATTAGTGAAGGAGAAATAAGATCCTTTTCAAACAAGCAAATGCTAAGGGAATCTGTTACCACTAGACCTGCCTTATAAGAGGTTTTAAAGGAAATGCTAAATATGAAAAGGAAAAACAATTACCAGTCACCACAAGAACATATTTAAGTACATGGACCATTGACATTATACAGAAATGACACAATCACGTTTCCGTAATAATCACCTAACAACATGATGGCAAGATCAAATCTGCACATATCAATATTAACCTTGAATGTAAATGGGCTAAATGCCCTAATTAAAAGGCACATAATGGCAAGTTAGATAAAGAAATAAGACTCCACAGTTTTCTGATAGTTCAAGAGCACTATCTCACATGCAATGACACCCATAGACTCAAAGTAAGGGGGTGGAGAAAAATGTACCAAGCAAACAGAAGATAGAAAAAAAAAAGCAGGGGTTGCTATTCTAATTTCAGACAAAACAGACTTTAAATTGACAATGATAAAGAAAGACAAAGAAGGGCACTAAATAATAGTAAAGAGTTCAATTCAAAAAGAAGACCTGACTATTCTAAATATACATGCACCCAACACCGGAGCATTCAGATTCATAAAGCAAGTTCTTAGAAATCTAAAAAGAGACTTAGATAACCACACAGTAAGAGTGGGAGACTTTAATACCCCACTGACAGTATTAGACAGGTCATCAAGGCAGGAAACTAACAAAGGTATTTGAGACCTAAACATGACACTTGACCAAAGGGACCTAAAAAAACGTCTACAGAACACTCTGCCCAACAACAACAGAACATAAATTTGTCTCATCTGCACATGGCACAGACTCTTAAAATCAACCACACAATTGGCCATAAAGCAATACTCAGCAAATTTTTAAAAAACTGAAATCGGCCGGGTGCAGTGGCTCACGCCTGTAATCCCAGCACTTTGGGAGGCCGAGGTGGGTGGATCATGAGGTCAGGAGATCGAGACCATCCTGGCTAACACGGTGAAACCCCGTCTCTACTAAAAATACAAAAAATTAGCCGGGTGTGGTGGCGGGTGCCTGTGGTCCCAGCTACTCGGGAGGCTGAGGCAGGAGAATGGCATTAACCCGGGAGGTGGAGCTTGCAGCGAGCTGAGATCATGCCACTGCACTCCAGTCTGGGCAACAGAGTGAGACTCTGTCTCAAAAAAAAAAAAAAAAAAAACAACAACAACTGAAATCATACCAAACACACTCTCGAACCACATTGCAATAAAAATAGAAATCAGTACTAAGAAAATTGCTCAAAACTATAAAATCATATGAAAATTAACCTTCTTCTAAATGACCTTTGGGTAAACAGTTAAAGTAAGGCAGAAATCAAGAAATTCTTTGAAACTAATGAAAACAAAGATACAACATACTGGAATCTCTGTGATACTGCTAAAGCATGGTTAAGAGGAAAGTTTATAGCATTAAATGCCCACATCAAAAAGTTAGAAAGATTGCAAATTAACAACCTGACATCACAGCTAGAGAAACTATATAAACAAAAGCACACTAACCCCAAAGCTAGAATAAGAATATAAATAACCAAAATCAGAGTGCAACTGAAGGAAATTAAGACATGAAAAAAACATACAAAAGATCAACAAAATTAGCAGTTAGTTCTTTGAAAGAATAAATAAGACTGATAGGCTCCTAGCTAGACTAATGAAGAAAAAAGAGAGAAGATTCAAATAGTACAATCAGGAATGAGAAAGGAGACATCACCAGTTATCCCACAGAAATTTAAAAGAAAAAAACCTTCAGAGACTACTATGAACACCTTTCTGCACACAAACTAGAAAACCTAGAAGAAATGGATACATTTCTGGAAACATACAACCTCCCAAAATTGAGCCAGGAAGAAACTGAATTCCTGAACAGACGAGTAACAAGTTCCAAAATTCAATTAATAATAAAAAGCCTATCAACAAGAAAAAGCCCTGGACTAGATAGATTCACAGCTGAATTCTAGCAGAAATATCAAGAAGAGTTGGTACCATTCTACCGAAAGTATTCCCAAAAATTGAGACGGAGGAACTCTTCTCTAATTCATTCTATGAGGCCAGTATCATCCTGACACCAAAAACCTGGCAGAAGTACAACAAAAGAAGAAAACTTCAGGCTAATATCCTTGAAGAACATAGATACAAAAATCCCCAACACAATACTAGCAATCTGAATCCAGCAGCTTATCAAAATGCTGATCCGCCACAATCAAGTTGTTTTTATGCCTGGGATGCAAAATTGGTTCAACATATACAAATCAATATATATGATTCATCACAGAAAGAGAATTAAAAACAAAACCAACATGATCATCTTGATATATGCAGAAAAGACTTTCAATGAAATTCGACAGCCCTGCATGTTAAAAACCCTCAATGAAGTAGACATCAAAGGAACATACTTCAAAATAATAACAACCATCTATGAAAACACCACAGCCATTATCATATTGAATGGGCAGAAGCTGGAAGCATTCCCTTTCAAAACCAAAACAAGGTTAGGATGTCTTCTCTCATCACTGTTATTCAACACAGTACTGGATGTCGTGTCCAGAACAATCAGGCAAGTAAAAGAAATAAAATCCATCCGAATAGGAAAAAAGGAATTCAAACTACCTGTCTTTGCAGATGAAATGATTCTACACCTAGAAAACCCCACAGGATCTGCCCAAAAGTGCCTTGATTTGATAAACAACTTCAGCAAGGTTTCAGGATGCAAATCAATGTACAAGAATCAGTAGTATCCCTATACACCAACATCATCCAAGCTGAGAGCCAAATCAAGGATGCAATCCCATTCACAATTGTCACAAAAAGAGTAAAATACCCAGAAATACAGCTAAGTACTGAAGTAAAAGATCTCTACAAAGAGAATTATGAAACACTGATCAAAGTAATCAGAGATGACACAAACAAATGGAAAAACATTCCATCCTCATGAATAGGAAGAATCAGTATTGTTAAAATGACCATACTATCCAAAGCAATTTATAGATTCAATACTATTTCTATTAAACTGGCAATGACATTCCTCACAGAATTAGAACAATCTATTTTAAATTTTATATGAAACCAAAAAAGGCCTGAATAGCCAAAGCAATGCTAAGCAAAAAAACAAAGCTGCAGGTGTCATGTTACCTGATTTCAAACTATACTACAGGGCTACAGTAACCAAAATAGCATGATATTGGTACAAAAACAGACACATAGTCCAATGGAGCAGAATAGAGAGCAGAAATAATGCCATGCATCTACAACCATATGATCTTTGACAAAGTCAGCAAAAACAAGCAATGGGGAAAGGACCCCCTATTCAATAAATGGTGCTGGGATAGGTGGCTAGCCATATGCAGAAGACTGAAACTGGATCCCTTCCTTTCACCATACAAAAATCAACTCAAGACAGATTAAAGTCTTAAATGTAAAACCTGAAAGTATAAACACCCTGGAATATAACCTAGGTAATAGCATTTTGTGCATAGGACCTGGCAAAGATTTCACAATGAAGACACCAAAAGCGATTACAACAAAACCAAAAACAGACAAATGGGACCTAATTAAACCAAAGAGCTTTTGCACAGCAAAAGAAACTATCAACAGAATAAACAGACAACCTCCAGAATGAGAGAAAATTTTTGCAAACAATGCATCTGACAAAGGTGTAATATCCAGAATCTATAAGGAACTTAAACATATTTCCAGGAAAAAAATCTCATTAAAAATTGGCAAAGGACATGAGCAGACACTTTCAAAAGAAGACATACAGGCAACCAAAAAGCATATGAAAAAAATTTTCAACATCACTAATCATAAGAAAAATGGAAATCAAAACCACAGTGAGATACCATCTCACATCAATCAGAATGGCTATTATTAAAAAGTTGAAAAGTAACAGATGCTGGTGAGTGTGTGGAGAAACAGGAACACTTATACACTGCTGGTGTGAATGTAAATTAGTTCAACCACTGTGGAAAGCAATTTGGCAAGTTCTCAAATAACTTGAAACAGAATTACCATTCAATTCAGCAGTCCCATTACTGAGTACATACCCAAAGGAATATAAATTATTCTACCATAAAGATACATGCAGGTGTACATTCATTGCAGCATTATTCACAATAGCAAATATATGGAACCAACCTAAATGCCTATCAATAGTAGACTGGATAAAGAAAATGTAGTATATATACACCATGGAATACTATATAGCCATAAAAAAGAATGAGATCGTGTCCTTTGCAGCAACATGGATGAAGCTGGAGGTCATTATCCTAAGTGAACTCACACAGGAACAGAAAACAAAATATCACATGTTCTCACATACGTGCATGCTAAACATTGAGTATATATAGATGCAAATAAGGGAACAACAGACACCAGGGCCTACTTGAAGGTGGATGGTGACGACTAAAAAATTACCTATCAGCTACTATGCTTATTACCTGGGTGATGAAATAATCTGCACACCACAACATGCAAATTACATGCAGCATGCAAATTACCCTTAAAACACACTTGTACATATACCTCTGAACCTAAAATAAAAGTAATTAAAAAAAGAACAATCACTGGACCAGTTCCACTGAATTTGTAAAATAAAACCGTCACTTCATTTCACTTTATTTCATATACTTCATCATTCATTTTGTATATTTTATGTTAAATTCTCAAGAAAAATATGTGCAATTGACCCCGAAAGAAGAGGCTTTTCAGAAGAGCATTGCAAGAAGAGGTTTTTCAGAAGAGCATTGCAAAAGAACATTGAGAGCCAGTTACATCATAGGGCTTGGATAGGTCATTTCTCCTGTGCTAACCATTTTTTTTAATAACACCTTTCATATCTATGTGGAGGTTATTGAGATTCCATCTGGGAAAAAATATGTGATAAAATTGCATATAACTAACATGCACACTCTCACACAAATAGATGTGTGTTAAACGGTGAAATATGAAAAAGGTTGTTAGAGTATATCAATATTAATTTTCTGTAGTGATACTCTACTGTAGCTACAAAAGATGTTGCCATTGGAGGAAAACAGGTAAAAGAATAAGAGAGATCTCTATTATTCCTTATAATTACAAATAAATCTACAATTATGTAAAAAAGTTTTTAAAAATGCATTGCATTCTTGTCCAGGGAGCTAAGAAAACTCACCCAATTGTACTCTTGCTATGTTCCAGTCACTGTGCCAGTGACTTTACATAAATTACCTCTAGGATAAAAGTATCTCCTGGCTTTCCCTGAACAGTCCTAATTATTTTTACCTGTTGACCTAGGATCCCATCTAGCTTAACGTTTTCCAAAATTTGTCATTTTTAAAAATGTACTCTTATTACTGATATTTATGTTAAAATAAGCCAGAATGGGTTTAGGAAACCTTTAGTTCTTAGGGCTGCTGTGACAAATAACAATTTTGTTAGCTTAAGATGATACACATTAATTCTCTTACAGTTGTGGAAGTCCAAAGTCCAAAATTAGTTTTACTAGGCTGAAGTAAAGATATTGGCAGAGCTTTGCTTCCTCTGGAGGTCCAAAAGAGACTCTATTTTCTTACATTTTCCATCGTCTGGAGTTTGCATTCCTTGCCTTTCTTGGCTCATGGCCTTTTCCTTCATCTTCTAAGTCTGTAGTGTAGAATCTTGTTTCAGTTTTCACATTGCCTTCTTCTTCCGTAGTAAAATCTCTCTCTGTTTCCCTTTTATAAGAATACTTGTTATTACATTTAGGGTCTTCCTGGATAATCCTTGGTAATCTTCCTATCTCAAGATCCTTAATGACATTTGCAAAGTCCCCTTTTGCCATATAAGGTAAAATTCACAGGTTCCAGGCATTAAGACCTGGATATCTTTGAAGGCAATTATTAAGCCTACCACAGATCTCCACTTTTTACTTCCATTTTTGCATTGTTTTTGTCTGGTAGTGTGTGAGACATCCTTGTCTTGTTCTGGTTCTCAAGGGGAATGCTTCCAGCTTCTGCCCATTCAGTATAATGTTGGCTGTGGATTTGTTATACATGGCTCTTGTTATTTTGAGGTACATTCCTTCAACACCTAGTTTATGGAGAGTTTTTAACATGAAGGGATGTTGAATTTTATCCATAGCCTTTTCTGCATCTACTGAGATGATCATGTGGCTTTTGTCTTTAGTTCTGTTTATGTGATGAATCACATTTATTGATTTGTGTATATTGAGCTAAACTTGCATCCTGGAGATGGATCCTACTTGATCATGGTGGATACATTTTTTGACATGCTACTGTATTCAGTTTGCCACTATTTTGTTGAGGATTTTTGCATCCATGTTAATTAAGGATATTGGCCTGAAGTTTCCTTTTTGTGTGTGTGTCTCTGCCAGGTGTTGGTATCACTTAGTGATTTTATAGTGTTAATATATGTCTATATTTATTTTACTGATGGGAATGATACTTTTATTCTGCAATAAGAAACAAAAGGTCTCTAGTGAATGGTATGTTCAGTAATGTTACTTTTCTAAGAAAGTGGATGACAAACATTTAACTTAAAATATGTTTAATCAACATATACTATGCATCAAGAGAACTGTCATTATATCTTCTTCCAAAGGTAGTAATTACTTGAGGAACAATGTGTCAATTTATTACATGCAAATGCAAAAGTTGTGTTGACTTCTCATTTTGTGAACAGATCTTTTAATTTAGATAAAATGACATTTCTTCAAATTTAATGATACTAATTTTGAATCCCACATTTTTGTGTATATGTTTTAAAAGAGGAGAAATAGTTGTTAATACTTTGGCTCCATTAGCAAAATAACTTAGCAAATAGTTACTGAAGACAGCTTAAAATCACTATAATTAGATGATTAAAACAGAAAATCAGTTCTTTTCAACTGATTTGATATTATTTTCATCAAATTCTTGAATAATTATAATAATTTTATGGAAGTTTATACTGATGAAATTGAAACACCTAGCCTCGATAATTCAGGAAAAAAATTCAACATTGAGGACAGAATTATTGGTGATGTGGTGATAATGACGAATACACATATTGATAGAGCAAAATACTGTAGGAAGATCAAGGTTTTACTAAATGAAGAAAGATGTGTAGCAGAAATATAATCAGAATTGCTTGTGTAACACACATAATTCATAATCCTGTAATCATGATAAGGTATTTTGCAAATCAAAATAAAAATAGTTGTTGCCCAGATATACACAAGACATACACATACATATGTACACACATATACATCTATACATATATGTGTGTATAAATAAACATGTGTATATATACATATACATGTCACTATACTGTAGAAGCTAAAATATTGGTGATTCTTAGTTTTTGTGGGTGGTGGCTTCACGAATGTGAAAGAAAAGGAAAGAAAAAAAAGACAAAGGATGGGAAGGGGAGGAAATAATAGGACGGGAAAGAAAAGGGAAGGAAGAGGGACAAGCAGGGATCGATGATAAGGGTGTGTTGTAAACCAAGGACTATGATGAATTTGTGCATCTGAAATTCATATTTAAAATGTTTTAATGCTTTCTTTTCTACCTGTCTGACATTCTCTCTCTATGAAAACTGATCAAATGTTGGAAGGTAAGTTTCAAGTGTGGAGAGAGACCAAGGGAGATGGCAAGAAGGAAGTTGGTAAATCAATTTGGGGTACACGGGCTTTGGGGTCCCTCAGGGACACTCAGGCGGTGATGTCCAATAGACAGTTGGCAAAGCTGATATGAGACACGGAGAAGGGAACAGCCTGGAGCTGTAGATCTGGGAGTCATCGGTGTTTACTGGAAATGAATGAGATCACACAGGGAGAGACAACTTGAGGACTGAGGAGAGAGGAGGCCCAGGACAGAACCCCAGGAACACCGCCACTCAAGGTGGCAGCTCAGCTTCCTGGCAGGCACCACTACCCCCCGGGCTCTGGAGTCAGGCAGAGCCGGTATTGAAAGTGGGCTGTGGAGTTCTGGGGCTGAGCGCTCTTGGCAAAGTCCGGTACCTCTATGATCAGCTGTCACACCTGGCGATAATGGGCATCAGAGAGATATGCCTTGCGAGGATGCTGTGAGCTGCGTCAGGTAAAGCACCTAGGGTCAGAAAGCCACCTCTCCTCCTCTTCTCCGCGACCCCACTTTGCTACACAAACGCACCGAGACTCCGACCGTCCCCAGCCTCCGGTCCCTCAGGGATGGAAGGTGAGGTATGTCAGGAAAGAGAGGGGGGCCCAGCTCCAAGGTGAGGTGTGTCAGGCAAGAGCGGGGGCAGAGCTCCGGTGACGCGGTGCTCACGTGACCCGCCCGGCGCCTACGTGGGCACCAGCCCCCGCGCCCGCCCGCCAGCCCGCCCAGCGGTCGGGTCCGGGCGCCCGCGCAGAATCAGCTGTCTGAGCTGCCCAGGCGGCGGGGGAGCAGCGAGCGGGCTTCAGCGAGCCGCAGGAGGCACAGGCCTGTCCTGGGTCCCCGCAGGTCAGTGTGAAGGCGTGCGCTGCCGGCGGACCCTGGGACAGGGGTGGAGGGGGCTGGCAGTAGGATTGGGGAGGGGGCGGAGAAGGGATCCGGTAGATTGGGGAGGAGGGGGATGCGGAGTCGCGGGGGCGGGGGCAGTGGAGGGAGAACCCCCGAAGCAAGCCTGGCTCGCCTTCTCGACGCCCCCTTGCACTGAGTCCTCCATCCATTTTAGTGCTGGAAATGGGGGGTGGGGGTAGCGACCCCGCAGTGCGACAGTGAAACGTAGACATATTCTGGAAATAACCCCTTCTCACAATCTACACCCATGGAAACACTTGATCTCCGCAAAAATGAGGTGGCGCTGGGGCAGGTTGCCTCCGGGGAAGGGGGACACAGAGACAAACGCAGTTTGGAAAGCATCCTGGTTTGGTGCCCGAGGCCTGGAAAGAAATGGCGGCTGGGGTGCGGGGGAGGTAGGGGAGGAAAACGGTGGGTAAGCAGGGCCTGGACTCAGGAAAGGGAACCGAGTCCCTGTGAGCCCGCTAAGCGCGCAGCCCCTGCCCCTGTCTCCTGTCTGTCCGCAGGTCTGCGCGTCTGTTGTTCCCAGCGCTCTGAGAGGCCTGAAAAGGAAGAGCAACCTGTCCAGAATCCCCGCAGGTCCGTGAAAGCAGGGGGCTGCATGGACAGGGGCCCACAAGGGTTGAGAGTGTGGAGGGCACAGTCAGGGCCGAATTGGGGCCCCTGCCCATCCCCTTACCTACATGAACACACACCTTACCAGGCTGAACCAGTGCAGAGAAGGTGGCAGGGCCTGCCAGGGAACAGCTGGCTCACGTGTGTGGGAGGAGTGGTGGGCTACGTGGTGGGCAGAAGGCCCTCTTGGAGGCCCAGTCAGCTTAGGGGAACCCTCACCAGGGGTGAGATGCAAGTAGTATCCAGACCTGCATTCCACCCCATGCCCTCAGTCTCCCATGTCTCCTCTTTGTCTCCTCTTCCCTCCACACCCATCCCCCAGGAAAGGAAAAGGAGGGGAAATCTCGACATGGAAAAACTCTTCAATGAAAATGAAGGAATGCCTTCGAATCAAGGAAAGATAGACAATGAAGAACAGCCACCGCACGAGGGAAAGCCAGAAGTAGCTTGTATTCTGGAAGACAAGAAGTTAGAAAACGAGGGAAACACAGAAAACACGGGCAAGAGAGTTGAGGAACCGTTAAAGGATAAAGAAAAGCCAGAGAGTGCGGGAAAGGCAAAAGGAGAAGGAAAGTCAGAGAGGAAGGGAAAGTCAGAGATGCAGGGAGGATCAAAGACAGAGGGAAAGCCAGAGAGAGGGGGAAGGGCAGAGGGTGAAGGAGAGCCAGACAGTGAAAGAGAGCCAGAGAGTGAGGGAGAGCCAGAAAGTGAAACAAGGGCTGCAGGAAAGCGCCCAGCTGAGGATGATATACCCAGGAAAGCCAAAAGAAAAACCAACAAGGGGCTGGCTCAGTACCTCAAGCAATATAAGGAAGCCATACATGATATGAATTTCAGCAATGAGGACATGATAAGAGAATTTGACAACATGGCTAGGGTGGAGGATAAAAGGAGAAAAAGCAAACAGAAATTGGGGGCGTTTTTGTGGATGCAAAGAAATTTACAGGACCCCTTCTATCCTAGGGGTCCAAGGGAATTCAGGGGTGGCTGCAGGGCCCCACGAAGGGACACTGAAGACATTCCTTATGTGTAGTGTCCCTGGCAGGCATTTGTCAGGCCATATGTTTTAACCTTATGGTAATACTTTGCTTTAGTCGTTCCTCCTGCTACCAGTAGCGTTTTGACCCACCTGCCAGTGTTTGCTTGCTCTATGTTTCAGTAGCAGATTTTCACACATGTGCATTGCAGAGACGTCATGATTCGTGGAAAAATAAAGCAGCTTATAATATCATCTACAGAATCTGTCTGTTTTTGTTAAATACATGAAAGGTTAACAGTGGTTTTCTGAGTTGTGAGCTAGCAGGTGATTTCATTTCTTTGTTTTCTTTCTACTAATCTTTCTTTTCCCAGAGAACACAAATTACTTTTCTCACAAAAATAATAAAATATTTTTAAAAAATCAGAACAGTATGTAAAAAGCAAAGAGAATAACTGTCCAGTGAACTTATGAAGTTCAGTAGAGACACTTAACGTTCTTGTTGTCAGAACTTAAAATGATAGGTAAAATTCACATTACCTACCTGTGGGACTCATCTGGAGAAGTCAATCTGGGGTTATTACAGATCCATTGCTCTAACGGACAGTCTTTTCATTTGTCAAATAGAGATAATACCTTGCTTTTCAGAACTGCTGAGTGGGTTGGATAAGGTAGAGAATATATTTGTTGGGTTGGCATCTACCTTCTCCCCTGCTCTAGCAGAAAAAAATACCCCCTCAGACACTTGGAAGAGGACTAGGGTAAATCTTACCTGTGTCCAGGAATAAGTCTAGGAAACTGAAAGGTGGGTGCCATCCTCTTTTAGACAATGTCATGTCCACTGGGCACTGTGCTCCTTCTCATAAATCTTGCACCCTCCTAAAGCTCACATTGATGCCGATGGGCTGAAGTTCTCAAGGTAACAAGGTCCAGTTGATTTCCAGTGAGCCAAGCCTACTGACCCCATTCCACAACAACTATGAAAATGTGGATAAAGTCCCTTTCCTCACTTTAGAGTTATACTCGCCCAATAGGGTAACACCTCAGTGATGCTTCAGCCCCTGGGGGATTTCAGATTTTTAGTAAAACAATTATTTCTATGCTTGTTGGTTTGTAAGTGTTTGCATACAGCCATCTCTCCACCAAATTCAGAGATAGAGGCTGGGGTAAAATTTGAGTGGCACACACTCATCTGTTCTCATCTGTCAGTGACTTGTATGCTTGACTCATCTTTCCTTAGAGTAAATTCTCTTCTAGGAAAGTCCTTCCAGGTCCCACCTTACCAGTTTAACACCCCTACCCACATTTGTAATTTTTAGAGCAATGCTACTCAGATAGTGGTTCATGGACTAGCTGCATCAGCATCAACTGAAAGATAGTTAGAAATGTAGAATCTCACAGCCTCACCCCAGACCTACTGAATAAGAATCTTTTCTAGTTTTAACAAGATCTGCAGGTGATTCCTGTACACCTTAAAGTTTGAGAAGCAAGGTTAATGAGGAAACTCTTAGCCTCCCCAATTCCACCTTCTCATGATATATGTGCCTAGAAGGATAAATACATGTGCTTCATAGGATGCACATCACAGATTTTTAAATAGACCTGTGTTTGTCAAACTGAAGTTTCACCTTCCTATATTTGCAGAGTTTAAAACAAATTCAGCAGGTCAAGACCTGCAATATTTTTAAATGAAATAGGATATAGTAGATTCAACCAGAACCAGATAGTAAACATCAGATTATATGGCAAGTAGGTAGGATTAAAATTATTTTCTGAAATTTGTATTTCAGTTATGTATATTTGAACAATATGTTTCTGACTGTGGGGTGAGGTTTTTTAAAACTGAGGAACATTGGACTTTGCTTGTCAAAGCACAACCTGTTCTTTATCCTGGTACCCCAATACCTAGCACAGTGCCTGATTGATAAGTAATAGGTTCTTGATGAATTTGTAAATAATAATACCTGAGTCAAGAATTCTTGTCCAAAATCATTCCCTGTCTACATAAATAACTGTGGACTCTATATCTCTAGCAGCATTTACTTGCAATTCCAAAAGAAACACCATGGAGAAGGGTTTGTACCATGAATTTAACCTTATCTCATTTATTAATGCATTTTTAAAGTGTCCTAGTTTGTCACATGTCAGAATCACCATAAGACTTCATCAAAACTGTGAATTTATAATCCCCATGTCAGATCCACTAGGTGGAGCTCTATAATTTCCATCTTAAACAGGCTGCCTGGGTGATTCTGATTCATAATAAAGGCTAATCACCACTGATTTATATATTCATTATGATCTCCATTGTATTAACTGTAAACCATAAGGTAAGCAGAAAAAAGAATTACACTGTCTCTTTTTCGGTGGGGAAGGTGAAGTCTTTTCTAAGTTCTAAAACAAAGGTTAAAAGTAAAAATCCATAAAGTCAAGGTTTAATATATTTATTGCTTAGAACCCGAAAGTATCTTTAGAGCAAACCACACTTATAAACAAAGGCAAAGTCAAAGCATATCATAGTATAGTGTATTTCCTCCTCCAGATGCCATGATAACTGTGGCAGCTGAACAGTTCCACCGCTAAAGAAGACTCTTGGGACCCCAAATGGTCATGATTGCAAATCTACAGTTTGTTGGAGAAAAAAATGGATGCAACATAGCAACAGCATTAAGGAGAAACATCATAGTCAAAAGCTGTCTAATAGTAAGGGATCTGGAGTGGCCAGGTATGAGCTTTGATTATCTTCCCTCTTTATAATAGCCCTGGCAGGATGCACTTCTCTTTTCAGATAAGGAACCATTAATGTATGCATAGAATACCTTGAAACCAGAGAACGCAAAATAGTCTCAGTCAAGGTTTCTGGTACACTGCTGGTTATGTAAGCATATTCTTGCTATGTAGCCAGTCTCAACGGCAGAGCCCTTGGCAATGAGGTTCACTGAGACTAGGTTTAAATGATCAATCTCACTGTTATCAATAAAGCTAACAGGCTGGTAAAAATCATCCCAAATTCCTCAGACCCATGATTATCAAACAGCACTCTTAATCAATGTTTTGTGCCTTTACCATGGGTCAATGCCATGCAGGCACATTTCTTATTTTGATAAAAAGCTCAGGCAAATCTCAGCCCTACTGGAGTTCACTTTCACAAAATAATATGCTTTTTATCCTCCTCCTTACGATATGCATAAAGCTGCAGGCACAATTCCTAATGAGTACTATTAACATGGCCCTCACTCATTTGTGGATATCTCCCCATCTTCCCATCCCAATTCACTCTACATTCTTCTTTACCCTGCTCTGTCTCCCAAAGTACTCTGACCTATATGGACCACATCAAAGGGCTCCCTTGTCCTCTGGGAGCCAGCAGTGGTGAGTGCAGTCAGGAAATTTGTTTCCCAACTTGTTCCCTGCAGTGTTGTCAGATGCTGGTGGGGTCCCTTCTCCCAAGGTTCCTAGAAGGTAACCCTCTCCACATAGGCTCTGCACCTCCAACTTTGAGTTACCCCTCTTTGCCTCTGTCCCTCAGGCCTACCTCTGGTAATCTCACCTTTAGTAGCCATGGTGTATTGCACTACTCATTTTGGTTCTCTAATACCCTTCCCATACCTTTGTCTATTCTCCTTTATTAAGAACTGCCCTCAAATTTTCCACTGCAAATGTACCCCCTATTTCCTGCAATGCACTTTTCAGGTACAGTAACAGATACAGGAAGTCACTCCAGGAATTGGGTTCCTTGTAAATTTGAGGGAAAAATATAACCTACTGACAATAGGGTTGAGAACAGTAGGGGGAAGCTGTTAGGAGAGGTTCACATGTACACGGTATGTAGTAGTATGACGATAACTCATACACCACTGGTGGCATGGAATGAAGTGCGAGTGGAATCCAAAGGTTTGAGAAATCAAGTGGTTATGTTACTTAAGTACTAAAACAAAAATAATTACCAAGAAGTTTCTGGAGTCATCTGTGTTCATCTGACAACCCTAGAGAGTATGCATAGAAAAAAGAGGACATTGGAAGCTACAAAAATACAGCAGAGAACATATTTACAGCACCAGAAAGTCTCTAAGGCATTGTTGAAGGAGTCCCTCATCTTAGGGTAGATATAGCTGTGAACCAAGGCTAGGTCCTCATGGTGTTGTGGTTCCGCTGCCAATTAAATGCTCTAAATGCAGTTGCTTTTACAATAAAGTAAGGACACTAGTAGAGAAGGAATAGAACTGTGATATATGGGATAGGGACATTTGTGCAGACATACTCTGAGGCATTAAGAAATGCATTTGTGAGAGGGTCAAGAGCATCTTTGAAGTTTCTGTGGGCCTGTGCTTTGTAGGCTGGAGATGATGGTGCAGAATGCTGCAGTAGAATTGTCCTACCTCATCTTAATGTGAATTATGGAATCCCAGAGTGGTGGAAGTCAGGTGACAGGGCTTAATTATCTGAGACAAGGTGAGTGGAACTACCACAATAAGCCACAGGAATTGAATGGTAATTAGTGAATTTATGGCCCACAGGGATTTGTGGTGATAGCTAATCAGAGCATTCCTTAAAATGAAATAATTGGGCAGCCTATTGGATGCTGCTTGACATATTCAGGCAGAAAAAAATTTCTAGATCTGCAAGAAAGTCTAACTCAAGATGCTGTAGCATGTTTTCTAAACTTCTTACCCAACTGAGGGGAAGGAAGGGTACGTCCAAGGTATGATCTTGCAGCCACTGGTGTATACTGTGACTCTTACATCAAACATTTCCCAGTGGGACCTACAGACACTTTTCAGAGTGACTGTGCACTAAGGAAAATAAAATACCAAAATCTTCTGGGAGTTATTAGCTAAAGGCTCAGGATTGAGGCTAATTTCTGGAGACCTCAAACTGTATCATAACATAATCAGATTGGGGAGCTTGTGAGATGCTGTGTAGAGGAAATAAACCAATAACTGATCTATATTTGGAAAGTAACTGCTGGGTGCTGGCTGGTACCCAACATCTGACTATGTTATTCCAAGTAACTATGCACCTAGAAATGTTATCATGAACTAGCTACTGTTTAATTCATCAAACCACATAACTAGAAATGCACAGCAGAATTCTATTTTAAGATGAGAATTATACATAACTGACTGAATTTAAATGTAACTAAAAGGCACAAGAAAACTACATAAGCAAGAAGTTCAGACTCTCAAGGTACTGTCTGCTACTGCTTGGCCACCTCCCTATCAACCCACATTTGTGGCCTAATGGAACATTCCCTGTAACTAGAGAATAGAAAAGTATAGGTCTGTTTTATAGATGAATGTACATGGCATGCTGGAACCCACTGGAAGAGAAAGGCTGCTCTACTACAATCTCACTCAGGAAAGACAGCAGCAGAGGGAAATCTTACTAATGGGCAGAAATTTCAGTGATATAACTTGTTGCTCACTTGGCATGGAAAGAGAGACAGCCTGATTCATGAGCAACAGCACGTGAGTTGGCTGGCTTTTCAGGGACTTGGAAAGAACAAACTTGGAAAATTAGTGATGAGGAGGTTTAGTGGGGAAGTATGTGCATGAACTGTTCACAAGGTAAACAGCGTGCCAAAATATTTGTTTCTCAATTAAATAATCACCAGAGGGCATCTATTATGGAAGAAGTTCTTAATAATTAGGAAAAAAAAATAACGTTTTTAGCAATGGTAGATCACCTTGTTTCAGAGCAAACCCTCCCATGAAGAACTACTAGAAAAGCCGAACAGAAAACAAACAATCTGTTTGAAGACACTGGGGAGATAACAAAGCACTGAAGACTTGTGTGACCAAAATTTTAAAGAGAAAATAATTCCACAGACATGAAACCTAGACTTGGTAGAACTTTTTTGCTTTGAGACATTTGTTGATAGGAAAGTTAAGGATATTAGGCTGAGAAGCAGTAAAGTTTTCAGCAGTTTTAAAAGGCTGGGACACAGAAATTGAAGTTCAGGTTCCAAGGGAGGAAGGGTCCTGGTATACGTCCTTGAATTTCAGTTGGTACCAGGTAACATTATGCTCTAGAAATAAAGGTAAATGGAAAATAAACCTGTTTTCACAATATCTAAAGCCTAGCTTTAAATAAGGTCAGTCCCAACTTGAATTAAGATGATCTGTTTCTGTCCTAACTGGGGACCTCAGACCTACAGTATATTGACTTAAAAATGACACAATTTGTAAATTTAGAAAGGAGATTTTATTTTTTATAAAGAGTTACAGCCTTCAAGGTGGTCATTTTGACAGTCTGGGAAGCATAGCCTCTGGCAGAACCTGGAAACAGGCACTTCGAGGGAGAAAGGGGTAAGACAGGAATTTATGCTGGATAGGTTGGCTAAGCATACATATTCAACAGGTTATAGGAGGAGATATGAATATAATTCAGTGAGTCCTAATGCATGCCTATTGAATAAACATCCATGTTATATATGAACCCCGTTCACATTGGGGTGGAAACTTAACATTTAAATATATTACAATTAGTCTCTATAAGTTAAAAGGTAAAGCAGGGACATGAAGGCACTCAAGTTCTGGCCTCTGTAAACTGGCCTAGAACCAGCCCATGGTCAGTGGTCTTCTTATCAGGAGAAAGTTACTGAAATCTGTCTCTTGTCCAATCAAAGCTGTAGTTATGGCTTGTGGAACAGGGAGTCAGTTACTCCGTGTCTGGTAGTGAGCTACAATTGTTTTAATATTGCTTATCTCAAGGCCGGTGTTTGTGTAGCTGTTAGACAAAAAGAAAAATCTTGTAGCAGTTAAAACATAGTTTACTCTTTAAGTCCAGGCATGCATGACTTAACCCTTACCTGCTATGGCCTTAGGTCCTGTTTATAATTTTGTATCTTATTGCCACAAAGAGTCCATTCTATTAGCATTAATGATATATATTTTTACATTAACTATGGTCAGTTGTTTTGTCTAAATTGTAAAAGGGAGGGGGTATAATGAGGCGTGTCTGACCTAGCATCCTCTCACAGCCAGGAACTCAGTTTTTAAGGTTTCTCTGGAGTCCCCTTGGCCAAGAAGTGGTCTGTTCAGTCGGTGGGGGGCTGAGATTTTATTTTTAGTTTACAATACAAGAAACTAAATTTTGCCAAGAGGAATTAGCTTGGTAATACATTATTTTTTGTCAAGATCCCCAGATACGATCTCAGTGTAGCTGACACCTTGATTTTAGCTTTGTGAGACCCTGATTAAGGAATTCAGCTGTGAATTCCAAAGTTCTGACCTATAGAACTGTCAGATAATAAGTAGGTGTTGTTTTAAGCTGCTACATTTGAAGTGATATGTTACACAGTAACAGAATATTAATAAAAATTTTGGTACTGAAAGTAGTGAATGCCTAAATATATGAGAGTGGCTGGGGAAACCGGCAGTTGATGGAGGCTGGGAGAATTTTGAGGAACACGACGATGTTTATCCAACTGTCAGTAAAAACATATACCCTAAAGATTCTGCTGGTGAGGGGCCAGTAGTATGTGAGGAGCAAGTTACTAGAAATTGGAGGAAAAAGATCCTTATATTTAGTGGCATGGAAATCTGAGAAATAGTCTCCAACACTTATGTGGAAAGCCGAACTTGCAAGTGATGCACTGGGACATTTAGCTGTGATGATTTCCAAGCAATGTTTTGAAGTGTAGCCTGGTTTCTTCCTGCTGCTTATGGCAAAAGGTGACGAGAAAGATATATTGAGAGAATAGCTGTTAAACAAAAAGGAACTAAAACTTGAGGACTGGGAAATACCCATCCTACCCAAATGGAAAAATACACAAAATTAAGAGATTCCTTCTGAAAGTATGACACAGAGAAAAAGCTGAGGATGTAGTTGTTACAGTCTTTCTCTGAAACCTTAGAAAAATAAGAAAGTCAGAGCACTCAGTCACACAAAGGTCATTTTCAAGAGATTGAAAGCATGACTCAAATATGCTCTCAATCGAACTAGATGGGCCAAGTCTAGAGGTCAGAGGCAGAGAAATCAGAGATTCAAAGCATAAGAAGGATTCAGTGTGCTGCTGCTGCTGCCTTAAAGCTGGAGGGTACCATGTGGCAAGGAATGAACGTAGCCTTTAGGAGCTGAAACCAGCCACGCTCAGCTACCTCAGCAAGAGACAAAAATAGAGAAAGATGATTTCAAAAATATCTGTCAATGTGAATTTTCTTCAATGGAGTAAAACCTACTGTAATTTATGCAAGACTCACCTCACAAGATTTTAAAGAAAATTATATCAGTAGAAACACTGCCAACTCTAAATGAAAGTGATGGAGTACAACATGAGAGAAGGTTGTGAGATCCCCAAAATTCTCTTGAAGAATGGTCTGATAAAACTACTCAGCTGAGAACACATGCTGCATCTAATGAAAAAGGAAGGATTACTCAGATCACAGAACCAAGAGCTCGGAGCACAGACCTGACAGTCCAGAGGACACATCCAGAGAGTGAAGCTGAGTGCCACAAAAGATTTTTCCCAGGCCTTAAAACCTAATAAAGAATTTTTTTGAGCCAGTGACCTCTTTTTATCTTCCATTTTTACCCGCTTTTGTCTATAACTGTTATCCTGTGCTTGTCACATCATCATAGGTTGGGAATTTTATGGGCAAATAATTTGTCTCCTCAGTTTTACAGATCTGCAGATGGGATGAAATGTCTTCAGGAGCTTTACTTAATGGATTATGCCCAAGATCCTCATCCACATCTGGTTTATATAATTTAGATGGTGACATGTTTATTTTTGAGCTCATGCTGTAATGGGATGAGATTTTGGCGAATCTTGGGAGAAGTTGACAGTATTTTTACATTTGGTAGGGAAATAAATTTGGGGGACCTGAAGGCAGACTATGGTAGGCAGAATTCTAAGATGGTTCCCACAAGTTACCAGCCCACAGTGTATTATACATATCTTCTTCCAGTTACTCAATCCAATGCTAATCTATGTGTTGCTGTGAACAGATTTCGCAGATATAATTAGGTTCCCAGATCTGTTGATCATAACATAGGAGACAATCTGGGTGAGCCTAACCTAATCACATCATCCCTTTAGATAAGGGTCTAGAGTCAGAGACAGAAAAGTCACAGGTTAGAAGCTTTAGAAAGAATCAATGTGCAGTTACACAGTGAAGACTGGAGGGGTTCACATCATAAGGAATGCAAATGGCCTCTAGGAGCTGAAAATGGCTTGCCTGACAGCCAGAAAAAAAAAAAAAAAACTGGGACCACACTCCTACAGCTGCAAGGAAGCAAATTCTGAAAACAACATGAAAGAACTTGGGTATATATTTCCCCCAGAACCTCCAATGAGAACTCAGTCTGGCTGAAATTTTGAATCCTCCGCAAGACATCTAGGACCTCTAAAATCCTCCTCATCATTAATTATCCAAATAATTCTCTTCAAGTCCCTGACCAGCCGATTGCTGGTTTTAGTCATTGCTCATGAGACAGGGTAGATCCATACCTCCAACCATTAAGAGTTCTATACAAAATGGACAATCATATGATTCACTCAAAATCGTACCCCAAATCCTAGCATGTCTTTTTCCTACTATTCTGGGTTATCCCTGAGTGGGACTATAATGAGGCAGCCATCCACTTGTACCTACTATCAATATACCAGGAAGATACAACCAGGAACTGATACATTGTTTCATATCTCTTTTTCTAACTGGTCACAAGGATGAAGAATTCACCAAGATGCCATATATGATATATGTTGGTTGAGAGAGAGGCAATGAGGTCTGATCAAACTGCACATGAAATTTACTTGTGCCTTCTTGGTTTACTCAGGTCTGATCTTGTAAAGCCATTTGCAATTAACGGTTGAAAGCTGATGTCCACACAAAACTTTATTATTCAACAGAGTAGACAGCAACACATTCATTAAGAGTAGCTTGTTAGTATGGAAAATTAATACCTCATGGTCAGGTGTTAAGTCTCTACTGGGTTTGATAGCAAGCCAGGAGCAGATTCTCAAATGTAGACTAGTTGCCAAGAAAAGAGGGAATGATTTTGCTTAAAAAACCCTAGAGGCATATACTTTAATCTACTACTGGGGCTTTCTAAAACTCCATGGAGCCTCTCTTTCTAGCATGGACACAATACAATTGGATCTGCAGGGTCATGAGGCTGAAGTGTCAGAGAAGCCCGCACTACAGTCTGGAACTACTGTAGATCTTTTACTTGCTCTGGGTACCACTTAAAACTGGAAACCATATGGAGTCCAAGAACAAAATCAGTATGATATATATTGTCTCTAAAATCTAAGGTCTTAATTCTTTCAAGGTAAGTGTAGTAAGATCATCTGCAGGAATGTACTTAACTGCTACCCATCTAGGGCAGCTTACCACCCACGGTTTCCCACTATGGCATTTCTTCCGTTCCTTTGTGAGGCTGTGCTCCTGTGGCACATACAGAACCCTCCACTGGGTTTTTGTTGTTGTTGTTTGTTTTGTTTTTTTTTTTTTAAATGGCACAATCTCAGCTCACTGCAACCTCCACCTCCCGGGTTCAAGCAATTCTCCTGCCTCAGCCTCCAAAGTAGCTGGGATTACAGGCACCCACCACCACACCCAGCTAATTTTTTTTTTTTGTATTTTTAATAGAGATGGGGTTTCACTATGTTGGCCAAGCTGGTCTCAAACTCCTGACCTCAGGTGATCCACCTGCCTCGGCCTCCGAAAGTGCTGGGATTACAGGCATGAGCCACTTCACCCAGCCCTGGGTCCTTTTATAGCACAGATTCCACAGTTGTTTAGTTTCACTTTGCAGAGCCTGTCTTCCAGGGGCTAAGAAGTTTCACCCCTTACAGTGAGGGAGCTCTCCTTGGTGCTGCTGAATATGCGTTCTTTAGTAAGCGAAGCTTTTACTGTGAACTATATATAGTGAACTAATATCTCTGCTGATATTCTGCTATATATAGAAGGTCCTATACAGCCTGTAAAGCCCATTACTCCTCATTACTTTGGAGAATGTAAGTAAATCCTGTTAGACAATTTAAGTTATTTGTCCAAAGTTATTTAGGTAGACAGAGGCTAAACTTGGAGTCTCAGTCATTATTATTTACATTTTTATTAAGTGCTTACTACTTGTCAGTTACTTGTGTTGGGCACTAGCAATACAAATATAAAATGGACATGCCATACTTTGAGATGCAGAATCCAGTGCAGTCTTTCTCAATTTTTTTGCTGCAGCCCACAGTCAGAAATTTATTTTCATCATAACTCATGGTGCACACACATACATACGTACGTAACTGAAACACAAATTTCACAAAAAATATTCAGTCTATTTACAATGCTATTTGCTATTTGATATTTTCTGTTTGGCTGTATTCAAGTCTATTCTATCCTATTTCATTTTTAAAAAATTACCTATCTTGACCCATTGAATTGATTTCAAGATCTACTTTTCATGGGGGAAGGACAACTTCATTTTGAAAAACATGGGCTTATTTAATAATCTGTGATGTGTGTCTTATATAGCACATATATTTATATTTTTAGGCACATATTTTATGTAAAGGTGGGAGTGGGGAGCCTGAAGGGTCTCTTTCTAAGCCAGTGCTTCTCAAACTTCAATGTGCATAGGAATCTTCTTGGGATCTTGTTAAAATGAAGATTCTAACTTATTAGGTCTGAGGCAAGACCTGAGATTCTGCGTTTCTAATTAGTTCCCCAGGTGATGACTATGCAGCTTTTTCATGGACCACAACATGTTCATTACAAAGGATTTAAAACTCAAATGTATTGATGGGTCTGCCGAACTGCTAAAGTGTTACCTGACAAGTTTCCTGAGAGTGAACTCAACAGAGAAAAGAGCATCTGCAGACAAGATATTAACCCATGAGAACAGCACAACCACTATCATGCAGGTATTTTTTCCTGGCCTAGCCTGCAATATCTCAGTTTTGTGAGGACAATATTTATGTATGCAAAACAAAGAAATAAGGAATACACATAAATGATTATTTTGGCAAAAAGAATTTGGAAGATATTAATGAGAGGCCCAAGCAGCACCAAGGTGATATCCATGTGTACCTGGTTACTGTAACTATAAAGTGGAGAGAGGGCTTTATCCACTTCTACGGGGGTCATGGGTTGGTGGACATTGCTCACCAGTGACTCCAGAGAAAATGACAGGGCTTTGACACCATAAATCCTCTATCAGTAAAGGGTGCAGGACCCGGGAAAAAGGGCATAGTGCCCAGCAGACATGGAAGTATCCAGGAGAGAGTGGCATCTACTTCTTAGCTGCCTGGAAATATTCCTAGACATGGTGAGAACTCCCTCAGTCCTCCTCCAATGTGTCTGATTCCATCGACTTTCCTGCCACTGTATGGGAATAGTTTAGGAGCCATTCCTCCCCTGAGTGCCTAGTGGGGACCAGGTCACAACACAGCTCACATACTTAGTATCTCATCTGATCCACCAGGCAGTCCTGTGAGGCAAGTATTACCCTTATTTTACAAATGACAAGATTGACTCTTACAGCAATAGATCTGTTAGAATTTCCAGGTTGATTCCTTTAGCTTTTAGTCCCAGAGATAATATGAATTTTACCTGTCATCTTATGTTCTGATAACAGGAATTCTGAGTGTCTTTATTGCCTTTGTAAGCGCACCAAACAGTTCAATTTCTTAGTATGTATTGTATTCAGCTTTTATTTATTTTTCAGTATGACAAATATTTAGTATTATATTTTAGTATGGGTCTGAGTATGCAGACCCAGCACTCATGTTAGAAGACCCAGGAACATGATAGAGGACCTAGCAACAGTGCCCACTGACCTGGCTCGACCTAGGGAAGACATAGGGATGTGCACAGCAGCAGAGGAATATCATGGAGGTACATACAAGAGGTGGTAGGACTCATTTTTGAATACAGGTGAGACCTATTCTTGGCTACCCTTCAGGAATAACCATTGCCTGCTTTTTAGTGTACATGCTTTCAGGGTTTTCTTTGCGCAGAAATGCATTATACAAACATTTACATTTTTATAAATATTGGCTGATAACCGTATACGAGGTTCTGCAAACTGTTCTTTATTTATTTATTTTTTACAATGTGTCATGAACATCTTTTCCATGCACATGGGTGAAAATCCTCTACTAAAATATAGAGCGCTGTAGTTGGGTCAAAAGGCTGCTGGTAACGAGATTGACATCTAAAGCAAAAATATCAGCTTAAGGTTAAAGCATTGGGCCTGGCAAATATCTACCAGGGAAAGCAGGGTTGACAATAATCTCATCAGAGAAGTCAGAATGGAAGGCCAAAGGCATTAAAGGTATGGGATATCGTGTAAGCCTCTTTGGCCCCTACCTCCACCCCTCACTCCCCTGACACCCCGTTGTCCCCTTGGGGCGAATGGATCCTGTACATCTCTTTGCATCCAATGAAAACCACCCATTTTCTGTTTTTTCCTTAGCTCCTCCTGAGCCCTTGACACATCTCCACATTCTCTCATCATCTCCTCACTGCTCAGATGCCTTTCCTGTAAGTCCTCCTGAGAGTCCTTGGGGGAATCGTCCGTCCCCCTGTCTGTTTTTCTTTTTGCTTTCCGGGGCACATAATCTCCAGCCGGGCGCTTTTCGGCGGCCCGCGGCTGGCCCTCTGGCTTTGCCTGGGAGGCTGGCTTGCCCTCGCCTTGTGGCTTGCCCTCACCTTCGGACTTGCCCTGCTTTTCCTGGCTTCCCTTATCTTCCAGTTGTCCCTCATCACCTGGCTCTCCCTCAGCCTTTCGCTTTCCCTCGCATTCTGTCTTCCCCTCCGCGTCTGGCTTTTCTTCCTCGTCTGACTTTCCTTCATCATCAGGCTCTACTTCATCTTCTGGCTTTCCCTCGTTTTCCAGGTTTCCTTCATTTTTATTGTAGGGTTTTTCCATGTCGAGATTTCTCTTTTTCCTGTCCTGGGGGATGACAGTGGAGGGAAGAGGAGACAAATAAGAGACATGGGAGACTGAGGGCATGGGGTGGAATGCAGGTCTGGATACTACTTGCATCTCACCCCTGGTGAGGGTTCCCCTAAGCTGGCCGGGCCTCCAAGAGGGCCTTCTGCCCAGCACGTAGCCCACCACTCCTCCCACACACGTGAGCCAGCCATACCCTGGCAGGCCCTGCCACCTTCTCTGAACTGATTCAGCCTGGTAAGGTGTGTGTTCACGTGGGTGGGGTTATGTGCAGGGGTCCCAATTTGGCCTTGGCCGGGCCCTCCACACTCTCAACCCTTGTGGGCCCCTGTCCATGCAGCCCCCTGCTTTCACGGACCTGCGGGGAGTCTGGACAGGTTGCTCTTCCTTTGCAGGCCTCCAAGAGCGCTGGGAACAACAGACGCGCAGACCTGCGGACAGACAGGAGACAGGGGTAGGGGCTGCGCGCTCAGCGGGCTCACAGGGACTCCGTTCCCTTTTCTGAGTCTAGGCCCTGCTCACCCAATGTTTTCCTCCCCTACCTCCCCCGCACCCCAGCCGCCATTTCTTTCCAGGCCTCGGGCACCAAACCAGGATGCTTCCAAACTGCGTTTGCCTCTTTGTGCCCCTTCCCCCGGAGGCAACCTGTCTCAGCGCCACCCCGTTTTTGCGGAGGTCAGATGTTTCCATGGGAGCGGATTGTGAGAGGGGGTTATTTCCAGAATAAGTCTGTGTTTCACTGTCGCACTGCGGGGTCGCTACCCCCAGCCCCCCATTTCCAGCACTAAAATGGATGGAGGGCTCAGTGCAAGGGGCGTCGAGAAGGCGAGCCAGGTTCGCTTCGGGGTGCTCCCTCCCCTGCCCCCGCCCCGGCCCGCTCAGCATCCCCCTCCTCCCCAATCTACCGGATCCCTTCTCCGCCCCCTCCCCAATCCTACTGCCAGCCCCCTCCACCCCTGTCCCAGGGTCCGCCGGCAGCGCACGCCTTCACACTGACCTGCGGGGACCCAGGACAGGCCTGTGCCTCCTGCGGCTCGCTGAAGCCCGCTCGCTGCTCCCCCGCCGCCTGGGCAGCTCAGACAGCTGATTCTGCGCGGGCGCCTGGACCGGACCGCTGGGCGGGCGGGCGGGCGCGGGGGCTGGTGCCCACGTAGGCGCCTGGTCACTCACGTGAGCACCGCGTCACGGGAGCTAGGCCACCACCACCCCCTTCCCGCCCACCTCACCATCCATCCCCGAGGGACCAGGAGGTTGCGGAAGGTGGGAGAGGGTGTGTGTAACAAAGGAGTGGGGGTCATCAAGAAGAAGAGGAGGAGGGGGTGGCTTTCTGATCTCAGGTGCTTTACCTGACGCAGCTCACAGCATCCTCGCAAGGCATCTCTCTCTGATGCCCATTATCGCCAGGTGTGACAGCTGATCAGAGAGGGTACCCGACTTTGCCAAGAGCGCTTAGCCCCAGAACTCCACAGCCCACTTTCAATACCGGCTCTGCCTGACTCCAGAGCCCGGGGGGTAGTGGTGCCTGCCAGGAAGCTGAGCTGCCACCTTGAGTGGCGGTGTTCCTGGGGTTCTGTCCTGGGCCTCCTCTCTCCTCAGTCCTCAAGTTGTCTCTCCCTGTGTGATCTCATTCATTTCCAGTAAACACCGATGACTCCCAGATCTACAGCTCCAGGCTGTTCCCTTCTCCGTGTCTCATATCAGCTTTGCCAACTGTTTATTGGACATCACCGCCTGAGTATCCCTGAGGGACACGGTATGTAAAAACCCTGTACCACAAATTGATTTCAAAAGCCCATGTACCCCAAATTGATTTACCAACTTCCTTCTTATAATCTCCATTGGCCTTTCTCCACACTTGAAAGTTACCTTCCAACAGTTGACCAGTTTTCATAGAAAGAGAATGTCAGACAGCTAGAAAGGAAAGCATTCAAACGTTTTTAATATGAACTGCAGATCCACAAATTCATCATAACCCTTGGTTCACAACATGCTCTTCTCATTGACTACTCTTCTCTCCCCTGCTTTCCCTTCTTTTCCCCCACTGTTTACTTTCGTTCCATTGTTTTTCTCTTTCACATTTGTGAAACCACCACTAAACCCAAAGAACTAGAAAATTGCTAATAACTGTTTACTTTCCTTCCATTGTTTTTCTCTTTCACATTTGTGAAACCACCACTGAACCCAAAGAACTAGAAAATTTTTAATATTCTTGTCACTACAGTGTAGTGTCATATATTTGGGTTTTGACAAGATACTTATAACATGTTTTTGTTTGGATCTCTTTCAGATTATCCTGTTTGGAGTGTATTGAACTTCTTGGATACATCGATTAGTGTCTTTCCTCAAGTTTGAGTAATTTGCAGTCATTTTTCCTTTGAAAATTCTTTCTTCTCTATTCTGTTTCTCTCCTTGTTGAACCCCCATCATGCATAGGTGTGCTCTGTTCATTTTTCACATTACTTTTATTTTTCTGCTCCTCGGACTGAATAATCTCAATTGACCTATTTTAAGTTCACTGATTCTTTTGCCTGCCCAAACCTACTGTTGTACCCCTCTAGTGACTTTTAGTTATTGTACTTTTCAAATAAAGAATTTCTATTTATTTTATAATTTCTACATCTCTTTGTATTTTTACATCTTTACTGATATTGTGTATTTGCTGAGACATTCTTCTCTTTTTCTTTAGTCCTTTGTTTACGATTTCCTTTAGTTCTTCGAGCATATATAAGACAGTTGATTAAAAATATTTTCTAGATATTCTAATACACGGGCTTTTTCATGATAGTATCTAATTATTTCTTTCCTGTGTATGGGCTATGTTTTCTTATTTCCTTATATGCCTCACAAAGTTTTGTTGAAATCTGTATATTTTGATTCTAATATGTTGACTCTGGAAATTAGATTTTCCCTCTTCCTTGGGTTTTGTTGTTACTCTCTCGTGGGTTATTGTTTACTTAGTGACTTTTTAAAGTATTTTAGCAAATTATGTATTCTTTGTCATGTGTGGCCACTGAAGTCTGTGTTTTATTAGCTTATTAATCAGCTGGTGTTTGGATGCCGTTACTCTAAGTACCTAAAGCCAACAAAAGAAAAACAATAAATAAAAAAATAATTTCCTGGCCTGGCGCGGTGGCTCACACCTGTAATCCCAGCACTTGGGGAGGCCGAGGCAGGTGGATCGCCTGGGCTCAGGAGTTCAAGACCACCCAGGGCAACATGGTGAAACCCCGTCTCTACTAAAAATACAAAAAAATTTACCAGGTGTGGTGGCGCACGTCTCTAGTCCCAGCTACTTGGGAGGCTGAGACAGGAGAATCACTTGAGCCCCAGAGGCGAAGGTTGCAGTGAGCGGATATCATGCCACTGTACTCCAGCTTGGGCTAGAGAGTGAGGCTCCATCTCAAAAACAAAACAAAACAAAACAAATTTCCCAGTCTTTGCAGATGAACTCTGAGTTGGAGTACCTTTTTAATGCTTTGCATTTTTCTTATGCAGAGCCTGAAGCTCAAATTCAATGAAGTTGAATGCTTGCATTTTCTCTGGTCTTTTCTGAGTATGTGTCCCACCCTTGGCATACACATGGCCTTCTTGATTTTCCAGTATATATAAAGGGTTTTTTAAAATGCTTGTTCTTCCACATATCTTGTTTCCCTAACTCTTCCTTCTCAGGCTTCTCGGTCTGTTCATTGCTTATTCTGAGTGTTGTCCTTTGCTCCAGACTTCTTTGGTCAATACCTGTGATTTTAAATGCTTCTGGCAAAAGCCAACTGGAGAGCCAATGCAGCCCAAGCCCTGGGAGTCCTCCCAGTCTGGTGTAATGAAAGAAGCCTTAGTGATGAAAGTGCTGCCAGGCAGGCTGATAGCCATACCACACTTCTATGAGAATACGGTCCAAATTCCTACCACTGGTACTAGCTATCTAAACCAGGATAGTGGGCTATCATCAACAGATCACTGCTAATCTGGGGCATAGAGAATGGTAGATAGGCAATTGAAAATTTCTTTCTTACCACAAATTAGCAGCTTTTATTCTTCACCAAATTTTCCTCTCATTGTTATAATTTTTTGACTGGATTCCAGAGTTCTGAGAAAGCTGATGGTAGCAGTTTTTGCCAGCTCACTAATTGCTCATTATGGAGTTCCGGAGTTCCATACACTACCATTTTTAATGATGTTACTTGTGTTTCTATTTCTTTTTAAGTCAATTGGGTAGGTTGTGTCTTTTTTGGAATTCATCCCATTCATCTACCTTGTCTCATTTTTTTGTCATGCAGTTGTTAATAGTATTACCTTATAATCTTTTTTTATATATCTGTAGAGTTGCTAATGATGACCCCTCTTTTATTCCTGATTTTAATAGTTTCAGTCTTCATCATTTTTTATTGGTGAGTGTAGCTAAAGTTTTGTCAGGTTTTATATATATTTTCAAAGAACAAACTTTTAGTTTCATTGATGTTCTATTCTGTAATTCATTTATTTCCACTCTAGTGGTTACTATTCCCTTCCTTCTGATTTCTTTGATTTAAGTTGCTCTTCTTTCTGTAGCTTTTTAAGATGAAAGTTTACTGATATGGGATTTTCATCTTTTCAAAGTAAACATTTACTGTTACACATTTCCATCTAAATGCTGCTTAACTATATCCCATAACTTTTGATGTGTTGTGGGGTTTTTTTTTGTTTTTAAAGTATTTTCCAATTTCTCTCATGATATTTCAGGTTGAATTGAAGTACATTGTTTAATTTCCACATATTTGCAGGGTTTTTGAATTTCTTTATGTTGTTGATTACAAATTTAATTCCATTATGATCATGGAATATTATTTTTATAATTTCAATACTTTTAAGTGTATATAGGATTTTATTATTTATTATGTAGTCTTTCCAGGAAAATGTTCCATGGGTGCTTGACAAGAATGTGTATGCTTATGCTGTTTGGAGTGTTCTATACATGTCTGTTATTCCAGTTGGTTTTGTAGTTTTGTTTAAGTCTTCTGTTTCCTTGTTGATATTCTTATTTGTTTCATTTATTTTTGAATGTGTGGTTTTGAAGTCTCCAATTACTATTGTTAAATTATCTTGATTCTCTTCTAATTTTTTCCTTCTATTCTGTAAGTTTTTGCTTTATGTATTTTGGAAATCTGTTTTATGTTCATATATGTTTATAATTTTTGTATAGTCCTGAAGGATAGGACTTGTTATATAACACGTTTTTATTCTACGATAACATTTTTTGTCTTAATGTCTTTTTCATCTGACTCTTTTGGTTATTCTTTGCATAGTATATATTTTCCATCCTTTCACATTAATTTTATTTGCTTATTTAAATATATTCTCTTTTAGATAGTGTATAGTTGTATCATGCTTTTTTTTTTTTACCCATTCTGCTACTTTCTGCCTTTTGACTGAAGTGTTTAATCAACTTATATTTAATGCAATAATGATAAGGTGATATTTACATTTGCTGTTTTGCTATTTGTTTTCCATTTGTTGTGTGTTTTTGTTCCTCTATTTCTCCATTATTGAATTACTTTTAAAAGGATATTTTTTTGGCCTACCATTTTAATTCTCCTTTTTCTTGTACAAAGTTTTTGAATAATTTTCTTGTGTAGTTGGCCTAGGGATTAAAATTAGTATATTAATTTAAAACAAGTGAATTTGTATCAATAATTTTAATGGGATGCAAAACTATCTCCATTTCCTCTTTCCTCCTTTGTGATTTAGGAAGAGTGTCATAGAAATTACATCTTAGCCATTATATCTGTTTTGTAATTATTGTTTTATCAAGTTTTCTTTCTAATCTAATAAGAGAAAAATGAGTTACAGACAAATATACGTTTATAACTATTTGTATTTATTTCCTATTGTTGCTGTAACAATTACCACAAACTTAGTGGCTTAAAATAGGAAAAACTTATTCTCTTACAATGCTAGAAGTAAGAAATTAAAATGCCTTCATGGGGTTTTAACCAGAGTCAGCAGGTATCCACTGCCTTATTTTTTTCAACTTCTGGAGCTGAATTTCTTGTATTCCTTGGCTTACGTCCCCTTCATTCATCTTAAAAGCCAGCAGCATAGTATCTTCAAATGTCTCTCTGCTTCCATCATCACATACCTTTCTTTCTCCTTTGTGTCAAATTTCCCTGTGTCTCCTTATAAGAACACTTGTGATTGCATTTAGGGCCCACCTAGATAATTCAGGATAATTAAGACACTTAATAACATCTCAAGATACCTAATAACATCTTCAAAGTCTCTTTTTGGCATAAAAAGTAACATTCACAGGTTCCAGGGGTTTGGACATGCATAACTTTTGGAAACCCACTATTCTGTCTACCACACTGTCTTTTATATTTACCTATTTAGTTACCTTACTAGTGTTCTTTATTTCTTCATGTGGATTCATGTTACCATTTAGTGTTTTCTAATTTCAGCATGAAAGACTCATTGGTATTTATTGTAGGACAGTGCTGCTGATTAAAAATTACTCACTGTTTGTTATTTGAGAGTGTCTTAATTTATCCTTAAAGTTTTAAGGAGAGTTTCCAGACTAAGAAGTGTTAGTTAAGTCTTTTTCCTTCAACTTTCTGAAAATGTCATCTTACTGTCTTCTGGCCTCCATGATTTCTGATAAAAAGTCAGCTGTAGATTCGTGCTTTCCATCAAGTTCAAAAAGTATTTTGTCATTATTTCTTCAAATACATTTTCCTGAAACTTTTCTTTTTCCCCTCTTTATGGAATTCCCTTCGTGCCTATGCTTGTACGCTTGATGGTGTGCCATGGTTCTCTAATGTCTCTATATTTTTCTCCATTTTTCTTTGTTTTTTTGTTCCTTATACTCATAATCTTCATTTATCTATCCTCAAGCTCACTGATTCTCTCTTCGTTCACTTCAGACTCATTATTGAGCTGCTCTAACAAGTTTTTCATTACAGTTGTTTTCCGTTCAATGGAGAAAAGGTAGTCTTTTCCACAAATGATACTGGAAAAGTTGGATATTCTCATGCAAAAGAATGAACTTGTACTATTATCTCATATCATTTATAAAAATTAACTAAAAGTTGATTAAAGACCTTAATGTAAAATCTAAAACTATGAAAACCTTAGAGAAAAATAGGAGAAAGCTTGATGACATTGGTCTTGGCTGTTGCTTCTTCAATATGACACACAAAGTATAGGTAAAAAAAAATAGAAATTGATCAATATTTAACACTTTTGTGCATCACAGGACAGTGTCAAGAGAATGAAAATGCAACTTACAGGACAAAAGGAAATATTTGCAGGTCTATATCTGAAGAGGGATTAAAATCCAGAACATATTTTAAAACTTTCATAAGTCAGTGACAACAACAAAAAAAACCACATAGAACCCAATTTAAGAATGGGCAAATAAATTGAATCAACATTTCTCCAAAGATATACAAGTGGCCAATAAGCACATGAAAAGATGCCCAACATCACTAATCATTAAGGAAATGTAAATCAAAAGCCCAGTGAGATACCACTTCATGCCCATTAGGATCATTGTTATCAAAAAAATAAGCATTGGTGAGTGCTATGGTCTAAGTTTGTTCCCACCAAAATATATGTTGATATTTCATCCCCATTGTGGTGGTGTTGGAACATGAGGCCTAGTGGTAGATGTCTGGATCATGGGGATGGATCACTCATGAATGGCTTGGTGCTACTCTGGAGGTAGTTAGTGAGTTTACACTCTGATGAGACTGGATTAGTTATCACTGGAATGGGTTAGTTCCCTGGAAAGTGGGTTGTTGTAAAGCCAGGACACTCCTTGTGTTTTATCTCTTTGCACATCTCTGCTTTCCCTTTGAACTTCTCTGCAATGTTTTGATCTAATTCATGGCTTACAATAGAGGAAGAGCAGATGTGGGTGCCATGCTTCTTATATTTCCCAGCCCACAAAACCATGAGCTAAATAAACCTCTTTTCTTTATAAATTACCCATCCTCAGGTATTCTGTTTTAGCAACACGAAATGGACTAAGGCAAGTAGGGTGTGGAGAAATTAGAACCCTCACACACTGCTGGTAGGAATGTAAAATTATACAGCCACTAGGGAAAACATTATGGCCTTTCTTCAAAAAATTAACATAAAATCACTATATTTCATTTCTGGGTATATGCCAAAAATAATTGAAAGCAGACTCTGGAACAGGTATTTATACACCCGTGTTCCTAGCAGTATTATCAACAGCAGCTAAAAGGTGGAAGCAAGCCAAGTGTACATCAAGAGATGAGTGGATTAACAATATGTTATATGTACATACAAAAGAATATTAGTCAGCTTTAGAAAGGAATAAAGTTCTGCTACATGCTAAAAAATTAGTGAACCTTAAAAACATTATACTAGGTGAAAGAAGCCGGACATCAAAGGGCACATACTGTATGATTCCATTTATATGAGATACCTAGAAAAGTCAAATTCATATAGACAGAAAGTAGAACAGTGGTTACCAGGGGACATAGGGAGAGGAAAATGGGGACTAGGAAGTTATTGTTTATGAGTACAGGGTTTCAGTTTGTAATGACACAAAATTTCTGGAGATGAATGCCGGTGATGATTCTAAAACAGAATGAATGTACTTAATACCAATAAATTGTACATTTACAAATGGCTGAGGTGTAAACTTTATATTATGTATATTTTTCCACAATTAAAAATATCCGAAAACTTAACTACTTTAAAGTGAACAATGCAATGACATTTACCACATTCACAATGTTGTGCAACTACCACCTCTATCTAGTTCCAAACCATTTCCATCACCCCAAAGTAAAACCCCTCACCCACAAAGCAGTTTTTGATCGTTACTGTCTCCCCTAGTCCTTGATAACCACCAATATGTGTTATATCTTCTATCAGTCTACTAGGACTGCTATAACAAAATGCCACATACTGGGTGGTTTAAATAGTAGAAGTTTATTTTTCACAGTTCTGGAGGCTGGAAGTTCAAGATCATGGTGTCAGCAGGCTTGGTTTCTCCTGAGGCCTTTCTTTTTGGCTTGCTGATGGCTGCCTTTGCTCTTCGTCTCATCTTCTATTTTAATTTACGTTTTTAGTTGAGAAGTAAAAATTGTATATATTTATGGTGCACAAAATGATGTTTTCATATCCTTATACATTGTGGAAGTACTGAATTAAGCAATATAATACATGCATTAACTCACATACTAATCAATTTTTGTGGTGAGAACACTTAAAGTCTACTCTCCTAGCAACTTCAAGTAGACAATATTATGTTATTAACTATAGTCACCATGGTATAATTGATTTAGTGAACATATTCCTTTCTAACTGAAATTCCTTGAAGTTCCTTGAACTTTATTTACAGTCTTGCTTTACTTTGCAGAAGATTTAATATTTTTTACATGGTGAATGTCAATCTTTCCCTTTATGATTTAATGTTTTAAAATTTTTATTTTAGCTTTTTATATTATTTTTTGTGCCCATATACATCTTCTCCTTGCTACTCCTTTCCCTGAATTTGGGCGAACATTTATATTTTATTTTAGTTATTTTATTGGTTTGTTTTTAACATAATCTGGATAAAAATGTACGCACAAGTGATCCAACAAACTCTAATGTGCATCAGAATCACCTAAAGATTGTTAACAATGTAGCTACCTGAGTACCATTGCCAAAGAGTGGATTTTGGATGGTGCCAGAATTATGTATTTTAAACAAGCTCCAAGTGGAATTCTGAAGTATTTGATAGGCTAGCGAAGCTGGACGAACACTGGCAAATATTTTCTTAAAAGGATGTTTTTGTGATTTGGGGGTATAATTCCTCCCCTAGGGTATTTCTTTCACAAGATATAAATTCTATATAAACAAATTAACCTGCTTAGGGTAACACAATCAGGGATAGTACAGAGAAAATAAGCCAAAGATATTTTAGCCACAAATTTCACTCACTTCTCAACTCTACTCTACATCGGAATCACCACGGGATCTTTCACACTAAGGATCTGTTGGTCTCACTTTTAATGAGTCTGACTCAACTGGTTGGAATTGGGTACTGAGCTCCACTTTAAAGTATCCTCAGGTATTTCAAATCTGAAGCAAGGATTGAGAACTTATGCAGTAAAGACAATAGCATTAAAAAATAAAAAGTAGTTGTCTCTTTAAGAAGGGCACCGTCTGATGGGAAAATAATGCCTGATGTATATAGATTAATTAAATTCTATGTAGTGTTTTCACAGGTCTCAGATCTACCAATCAACTAACCACCCATTTCTATAAAATATAAGGTGGGGAGAGGGGTGTCTGAGATTGACTAAAGCTGGGGCCTCCACTTTAATTTATGTAAGTCCAGAGATGTCTGATTAACTATGGTACAGTGAGTATGGACTGAAACACATTTTTTTCTGAATTTTTAGCCAGTTCTTCAGGCAATTTTGATGCAGCTGGTCTATATAGCACATGCTGATAAACACTGACATATATAATGTTATGATAAGTGCATTTTTTTTGGAAATTGGCGTATAATGCTTCTTCTGCTGTGTTCCTTTTTAATTGCAAGCTACAGTGTGTAGGGAAAAGAAGCACTTGCCCATAAATAATCAGAAGCAACCCTGGGTCCAGATTGCAGGATTCAACTCAGCTATAATTAACTGTTGTGCCCTACAACTTATCAGGCCCTGTACTAAACACTAAGGGTACCAGTATAAATGAGACAAAATATTTACTGTGAGAAGGACACAGTTTAGTGGGGAACAGTGATGACTGTGAACAATGTTTTAAAATTGGGATTCACCTACCAGATCCCCAGTTCCTGCCATTATTTCCCATCAATCTGTAATTACGGGTTTATTTGGCACAGAAATCTCAAAGCAAAGGAAGAGGGAAACGTATCTGGATCCGTGTAAGTTAGTGTAGACTACTGGGGACTCCTGAGGTCAGGGTGGTGTGAACCAGAACAGTCTTGGGAACATAAAATTATCCCTACAACTCCTGTGTATGTGCAGAATGAAACCTGTAGCAATGTCTGCACAGAAAATTGATAGTCAAGGAGACTAAGCTATATTCATCAGAGGATGGAAGAGATAGTCCAATTCTGAGCACACTATCATGAGTGTCACTCAAATTTGTCTGGGAGAAGGGGATGAGGAAGGAAGTGGGAGAAAACCATAAAGGGCTGCTTGCATTTATAAGCAGTGTTGGTGAAGTATCTGCCTGGTTTAATTATAACTCTAAAGCAGGGAGGGACACTCTATACATTTTTGAAAAGGCAAAATGGGGATTCGGATTACTGAAGGTTCCAGAGAAATCGGTGGGTCTTTGTCATCTTTAGAAGTCCAGTACATCTGCAGTGGTAGAAGCCAGTGGAGGGAGCAAAACGCAAGAGAAGAGGAAGATGTGCCTAATAGTTATGGTATTATGCAGGAAAGAAAGCCAGAGTAGCAGATGAATAGAAAAGCATTTACAGTTGAGCATCCCTAATCCAAAAATCCAAAATCGAAGTGCTCCAAAATCCAAGGCTTTTTGAACATGACATGATGCTACAAATGGAAAATTCCACACCTGACTTCATATACGCAAACTTTGTTTCACACACAAAATTATTAAAAATATTGTATAAAATTACCTTCAGGCTATGTGTTTGAGGTGTATATAAAATTAAATAAATTTCATGTTTAGAGTTGGGTTTCATCCTCAAGACAGCTCTTTATGTACATGCAAATGCTTCAAAAACAGAAAAAAAACCCCAGAAATCTGAAATCTGAAATGCTAGTCCCAAGCATTTCGGATAATGGATTTTGAACCCGTACTCACCTGGAAATCAACTGGACTTGCTGATAGGCACTCTCCTTGGAATCTTCCCTAAATATGAAGGGCACTTAGAGGGCTGGAGCCTTGCATGTATAAATAGAGCAAGACACAGAGCTCAGTCATCACCTCATTTGATTCCCACAGCAGCCGTCTAAGGCATTTATAATGTAACGTACCTGTAATTATCAGGTACATGTTTCTAAATGAGAGATCCATAGGTAATATAAGATTTATATGTCTTTAAACTGTGTTTCAAGTGTTTATTAATTGCCCCCATTTCCTATATAAGTTGATTGGCAAGTTCCTTGCTTCTTACTTTTTTTTTCCCTGAAACATAGGAAACACATGTATTCATTTTGGAAAAGTGAGAAAAAGTGGATAACCAAGAAAAAAATAAAGAAATTTAAAAGTACCAGTAACTATACAACATAGAAAAAGCACATTCTGGTTTTCATTCATTCATATATATATATATATATATATATATATATATATATATATATTTCATATATATTATATATAGTGTGCATACGTACACATCTAAATGAAATAGTCTATCTGTAGACTGCTTTTAAATTGCTTTATTAACTTTACAGTATGCAATAAACATCTTTCCATGAAAGTTGATGAAAGTCCTCTTCTGACAGAAAAACTTACAGACTAGGTCAAAATGCAATCTCCAATCAGAAAATTGCAGAAGAATGCCAAAAGGTTCACATTAAAGGTACACCAGGAAAAATGCGAATTTAGAAAGCAGGGATTTTATGATTATTAACCTCAAGATTCAAGGCATAAGGCAAAACTCATCATGATGATCATGGTGAGGAGGGTCCCCTATAAGAATGCGCAGACTGTACCTCAACTGAAGTTCCCTAATTTTCCTCCTTAGCTCTCTCATCTCCTCCATGAACCGTTCCATATCATCTCCATCTCCATCTATCATATCAATGTTATCGACAAGCCTATTGGGCACATCCTCTCCAAAACCCGGGGCAGGTGGAGCCCAAACCCCTTTAACATTTCCTCCAGGCTCCTGGTATTCACCACCTCCTAAAGCGGGGGCTTCATTCTGCACTGGGGCCTTCTCCACAACTTTGTTTTCCTTGGGGACATTTTCCATGTTGAGTTTTTTTCCTGTTTTTTTTTTTTTTTTCTTCCTAGAAGATAAAAAGCAAGAAGAGGGAATGAATGCTTGATAGGATTCAGAGCTCTGTTTGGCAAAGGTTTTCCCACCTGAGAAACTTTATGAACCCTGTAGGGGGCGCCCCAGACCCAGCGCTGCCCCAAAGCCCATCATTTTCCCTGAAAATCCCTTCCCCAGGCCACTCCTACCGCCAAAATGCAAGACGACTTAGCGGAGGGGGACGATCATAGAGAGACCAGACTTCACCTCCCTGGGATCCTAATAAGCTCTCCAGGAGCGCCCCAGATCTCGCCCCTCTACTCCCTTCTTCCCTCATCAGATACAGGCTGTCATTTTATGAAGACTCTCCTAAGTTTCTCCTGCACTCAACTCGGGCAGGAAGGGCTGTGAGTCACCCAGATTCTGCTCTGATCCTTGATACCCCTACACCAGAGGGCCCCAGGCAACCTCCTACCTTCAGGGATCAGAGGCAGTCTTTCTCTCTTAGCCTTGAAATCGGCTGCACAAACGCACTTAAAGACCTGCAGACAAATGTGACAATTACCAGGACTGATCTTTTAATCAAAGGACCGGTAATGGGAGTTGATTTAGGGTTCTCCTAGTATTAGCACCTTCTGTTTCTCCTCCATCCTGTCTCACGGCTTCTTTTCCCACCCTGTGACAGGCTATCCCACCTTCCAGAAATAGGCATCAAAGATGATTATTTCCAAAACGTTTTAACCTCTTCTTTAGGCGCCCATCTCTACTGTTTCCTCTTACCTGTCATCTAGTTACCCTTTCTGCAACGCAGGCAACTTGCCTGGCGGGGGAGTTAGAAGAGCTTGCTGAATGAATACGTAGTTTATTCACAAAGAATTTCAATCTAGATATCCATCAGGCCCTCTCTCCACCCGATCCCCACTCCCATGCCCACCATTTTATGCATCAAGATGGACGATGAGTGAAGAGGTATGTGGGCATTGAAAACTAGGACCTGCTGCGGTCTCTGCGCTTTGTCATTCTCACTCCAGGATCTACAGGTAGCGCCCACGCTTACACCGACCGACCTGCTGAGACCAAAAACAGTTTCTCGCTCCTCGCCTCTGTCCCTCAGTCAGAAGCTCGCCCGCTCAACTGCCGCAATAGGGACCTGCTTTCCAGACCTAATCTCTGTCCCCCTCCTCTGCAGCAATTCCTCTCCTCGGCCCCCGCAGCCTATCATTTCCAGCTCTAAATGGGTAGAGGGTGAAGAAAAGATACCTAGAAGGCAGGCCTAAAACCTTGGCAGGGTCCGCCCTCCCCAACCCTTGGTTGCCGGCTGTACCTCCCTCCCGCGGACCTGCAGGAAGCAGGCTGTTTCCTTTCAGTCTCCTCCACCGGCTGGACTCCATCAGACATTGCCCGATGGCCGGCCTCCTAGGAGATCTCAAATGGTACCCATTCTCAATCCAGCCCCCTCGGGAGATCCTCTCCCCAACCGCTCCATTTCTCGCACTAAACGGGTGTGTATCTGGAAAGGGTGTGTATCCAGTCCTAGACCCGCTCTGGTCTTTGCCCTCTGCTGCTCACACACCGGTCAGCGCCACCTACCTGCCAGGGCTCAGGGGTCAGCTTCTACCACTTTCCACCTTTCCTGGGCAGCTGGCTCGCCTGCCTTCAGGGCAACAGCGAGCCGTCACACGGCCAGCGACAACTACCAGACTGCAACTAGGAGGAGGGACTAATCCACGCATTGGCTCTGGGTCTCCTAAGGGTCACGTCACTGTGAGCTCAGATTTCCAATTACCATTCACACCCGCAGTGCGGCAGGAGGGTGGGGGCGGGACTGTGGGCGGGGCCACCTTTCTCTTCATTCGTGCTTTCTCCACCACTACCACAGGCTACTATCCACCCCTCTATTTTTTTATTTAGCGATCCCCACGACCAAACGGGTCATAATATTTTGTATTTGGCTTGCTCTGGTTTCTGCTGGAGCTTTTAAAAAATCGCTTCTTCCTCTTCTATACACCTAAACGCACACTTCTCTCCCCTTCACGTCCAGCAAGTAAAGCCCTAACAGTCTTGTAGGGCTTGGTCCCAGATTGGAACCCGGAGAAGGGGTGGGGAGCGAGAGGCTAGGAAGTCTGGAAAATAGGCAGGAAGTGGTATTCAAATTTTTTTTTCACTTCAACTACTTTCCTTTTTGTTTGTTTATTTGGGAAGGGGGTTCCTTTTATTTTTCATCAGCATGCATTCATTTTGTTGTTGTTTTTATAACTAGACAATACAATTATTTTCAGTTGAAAAAACAGGATTCGAGTTGTAAAAACATGGCAATCTGTTTCTCCTGCTGAATCATATTATAAATATAAACCTTCCAGAAAGCATTCCCCTGCCTCCTTTAAGGACTTTGAAATAAGGCCGGGAGCGGTGGCTCGTGCCTGTGATCCTAGCACTTTGGGAGGCCGAGGTGGGTGGATCACGGGGTCAGTAGTTCAAGACCAGCCTGGCCAAGATGGTGAAACCCCGTCTCTACTAAAAATACAAAAAGTAGCTGGGCGTGGTGGCAGGCGCCTGTAATCCCAGCTACTCGGGAGGCTGAGGCAGGAGAATTGCTTGAACCTGGGCGGCAGAGGTTGTAGTGAGCCGAGGTAGCACCATTGCACACCAAGCCTGGGCGATAGAGTGAGACTCTGTCAAGAAAGAAAGAAGGAAAGAAAGAAAGAAGGAAAGAAAGAAAGAAAGAGAAAGAAAGGAAGAAGAAAAGAAAAGAAAAGAGGAAGGAAAGAAGGAAAGAAGTGATTTTCTCGTGAAGGATCTCTACATGTCCTTCCGTGAAATGATGCATTGAGTCTAATAGAGCCTCTCTGGTGGATTTTCATGTCTTGAGAACCTGTGACAAACTGATGATCTCCTCTAAATTGTATTAGTGTAACCACAATTTACAATAACACCTAGCCCTGATGATTCAGGACAATAATTTGGGGAAGCTACCCTGACAGATGAAAATGTATTGTGATGGACACATAGAGGGGAACAACACTGGGGCCTACAGGAGGGTGGAGGATGGGAGGAGGGAGAGGATCAGTTTACCTATATAACAAAGCTGCACATGTATTCCTGAACTTAAAATAAAAGTTTAAAAAGTATTGTGAAATTACAATGTTAAGATAATAGTGTACCAGAATAAATTTAGAACAAATGAACCAGAAAAGAAATTCAATTATCAAACCCAAATATGGAAAAAATGCTAGTAAATGCATTGAAATATTTTGAATCAGTGGGGAAAGGTTAGATTGAAGAAATTGTATCGGGATAATTGACTATTTTCAAAAACAATGAAGTGCCTTATCATTCTCATACACTTAAAAATAGACACTAAATGTTTGCATAAAAGACATTAAACCATTAAAAATAGAACTTAGCATGTTATTTTTTATATAATAGAATGGAAAAGTTGTTTTAAATACAGCACCAGATCCTGACAAGACCAAAAGGCAACTGGCTCAAATCTGCTGGGGACCCTCCAAGTCTCAGAAATGATTTAGAGTGCTCCTCAGAATTATCCTAACTAGTGATGAGAAGTTGGGGTATTTTTCTACAGACTTGGCCCTCTATTGGTGGATGTCACGCTGAGGATGTTAAAATCTCTGGCACTTTTAAGTTGTCCTACACCTGGGCTGAGCAAGTTCCCAAGGTACCAGAAAAAGCCCTCAGCAAAATTAGAAAACACAGGTAAGGTAGAAGGATAATATCAGTTTTATCCCCGCTACAGGAAATATACTATTCACATTTTACTCTAAATCAGTCCAAATATCTCCCTTCAAAAACAAAGATAATACACACATATTCATTTTCTTCTTCTTCTTCTTCTTCTTCTTCTTCTTCTTCTTCTTCTTCTTCTTCTTATTATTATTATTATTATTATTATTATTATTATTATTATTATACTTTAAGTTCTGGGATACATGCGCAGAATATGCAGGTTTGTTACATAAGTATACATGTGCCATGGAGTGATTTGCCGCACCCATCAACTCATCATCTACATTAGGTATTTCTCCTAATGCTATCCCTTCCCTTGCCCCCCCACCCCCAGACAGGCCCCAGTGTGTGATGTTCCCCTCTCTGTGCCCATATGTTCTCATTGTTCAACTCCCACTTATGAGTGAGAACATGTGGTGTTTGTTTTTCTGTTCCTGTGTTAGTTTGCTGAGAATGATGGTTTCCAGCTTCATCCATGTCCCTGCAAAGGACATGAACTCATCTTTTATATAGCTGCATAGTATTCCATGGTGTATATGTGCCACATTTTCTTTATCCAGTCTATCATTGATGGGCATTGGGTTGGTCCCAAGTCTTTGCTATTGTACACACATATTCATTTTCATATTTATAGATGTTTGGGTTGTTTGTAGTGTTCATTATCATAGATGATGTTGATTGAACTTCTGTGTACATAAAATTTTCATACTAATATCAAATTTTGAAATTTCTAGAACAGTCGTTTCTATATATGTGTGGATATTTTTCAGTGTCATAGAAGTCAATCCTGAAAAATGTCCAAATTTGGTATCTATAATGTATGAGAATTCCTGCTTTTTCATGTCTGCCAATGCTTAATATTGCCTGGCGTATTAATCGTTTTCACACTGCTGATAAAGACATACCTGAAACTGGTCAATTTACAAAAGAAAGAGATTTATTGGACTTACTTTCATGGGGCTGGGGAGGCCTTGCAATCATGGTGGAAGATGAAAGGCAAGGAGAAGCAAGTCACGTCTTACACGGATGGTGGCAGGCAAAGAGAGAGCCTGTGCAGAGAACTCTCGTTTTTAAAACCATCATATCTCATGATTCTCATTCCCTATCATGAGAACAGCGCAGAAGAGACCCACTCCCGTAATTCAATCGCCTCCCACTGGGTTCCACATGGGAATTGTGGGAGTTACAATTCAAGATGAGATTTGGGTGGGGACACAGCCAAACCATATCACCTGGTTTATTTTTTTTAACTATTATTGTATTTTATTTTTTCTTTTGTTTAATTTTTTATTTAAATACACTTCTCAAGGTCACCAGGTAATGTTTTCTAAACTTAACACATCATAAGAAGCACTTGGGGTTAAGATTTTTAGGCTCTTTCTCTAAAGATCCTAGTTTAATAGATTAGAGTCAGGTGTGAAAACCTGCATTTAAGAAGCTCCTTTGACATAATTTTTAATATCAGATAGAGTTGGGAAACCCTGTCACAGTTAAAAAACAAAATGAAACAAAGAAAAAAGATCTCCCATCATTATGTAAGTGATCTTTTTTTAAAAAAATTATTATGAAATAATTTCAAACTTATAGAATGTTTTTGAGAAAAACCCCACATGCCCTTCACTGCATTTCCCAGTTCTCAGTTTTGCTATATTTGCTTTCTCATTCTCCCTTCATATTGAAGAATACATTATTATTTTTTTCTGAACCATTTGAAAATCAATTGAAGACCAAATGGTCATTTAAAAATATTTAGTGCAATTGAGTCCATATTATTATATCATTAATTAATATAAACTGAAAAAACTGAAGTAATCACAAATGGTGGAGCAGCCATACATCAGGAATTTTTAGCTCAGTTAAAAATTTATAAGATAATCTGGCGCCATGAAAATGCACCACTTAGATCTCCTGCTGTGGGAAGTATTGTTGATTGATGGTTCTAGTTGCTGACCCTCTGAATCCACTAGCACATTCATGCTGAGGTCATGAATCCCATGGGCTGATCCTTGCCAATAACTAGCACTATTCAGTTGCATTTCTGTAAGTTACAGGGCTTCTGTAATTGAAGTCTTTGGCTCCACAGCTCCCCTTCAGCCTAGCTGAAACCTTAGGATTATGTGACAGTCTAGGGCTCTTCCTGTCAAATCTTCCTCCTTTCCCTGCTCTCCTTCACCAATGTCAGATCTGCATTACCATCTGAACACTCTCTCCACCTTCTCCCACTCCTTCTCCTTTATCCTTCACAGGTGTTGTCCCCAGTTAAACTCTTGCTCATCTATTCCCATTTGAGTTGTTACTTCTAAGAGGATAAGAGCTAACATAAGTGGTGACAGGAGCTGTCCAAGAAAAATTATGATACAGTGGAGTTTGGGATCTGACTCACTCGCTACCCACTGGGCAAATAAAACAACATCTTGAGTGGTATGTGGACACAGAGAGTTCCTGGCACAAGATAGTGATCAAATAGCTAAAAATTTCACCAGTCCTGACCTGGAAACATATCCTGTAGATGGAGAACACCCTTGCTAGCATTCAGGCATTTGAAAAATAAGAGAGAAATAATGCCTGTCAGGCAGCCAAGTAGGCTAGCTAATAGTTGGATAATTTTTATTGCTACTCTGAAGAGATATAATGAAAAACTGAGGGTTGGGCTGGGTGCAGTGGCTCACGTCTGTAATCCCAGCACTTTGGGAGGCTGAGGCGGGCAGATCACAAGGTCAGGAGTTCAAGATCAGCCTGGCTAACATAGTGAGACCCCGTCTCTACTAAAAATACAAAATAATAATAATAATAATAAGCCGGGTGTGGTGGCAGGCGCCTGTAGTCCCAGCTACTTGGGAGGCTGAGGCAGGAGAATCACTTGAATCTGGGAGGGGGTGGTTGCTGTGATCCAAGATTGCACAACTGCACTCCAGCCTGGGTGACACAGCAAGACTCTGTCTCAAACAAAAACAAAAACAAAACAAAAACAAAAAACTGAGGATCATCACCAAGCAACTAGAGCTAAGTATTAAAATCTAAGAGTCTTTCTGGTAGCTTAGAAAGAGGCTCGTACTTCCTGCAGTGGAAAAGCAGAAACAGTTGAACAGCAGACTTGGGACAGTTGCAGAGCTTCAGAGATATTTAAATACTGAGTCAAGACAGGTATGTTATATTCATGTTATGACCTAGGTCGAAAAAATCTGGGATCCAGAAACATGGGATGGTGTATTAGTCCATTTGCATTGCTATAAAGGAATACCTGAGACTCGTTAATTTATAAGAAAAAAAAAAGAGGTTTATTTTGGCTCACAATTCTGCAGATTGTACAGGAAATATGGTGCTGGCATCTGCTTCTGGTAAGGGCCTCAGGAAGCTTACTTTCATAGTGGAAGTTAAAGGGGGAGCAGGCATATCACATGATGAGAGTAGGAGAAAGAGAAGTGGAAGGTAAAGGGGGAGCAGGCATATCACATGATGAGAGTAGGAGAAAGAGAAGGAGGAGGAAGTTCCAGGCTCTTTTAAAAAACTAAATCTTGCATTAATTAATAGACTGAAAACTCACACATTACTGCAAGAATGGCGCAAAGTCATTCATGAGAGATCCACCCCCATTATTCAAACTTCTCCCACCAGGCCCAACCTCTAACATTGGGATCACATTTCAACATGAGATTTGGAGGGGAGAAAACATCCAAATCATATCATTCCACCCCTGGCCCCACAAATACCATATCCTTTTCACATTGCAAAATACAATCACTCCTTTCCAGTAGTCCCTAAATGTCTTAGTTCATTCTAGCATTAACTCAAAGTCCAAAGTCCAAATTCTCATCTGAAACTCAAGGCAAGTTCCTTTAGCCTATGAGCCTGTGAAATCAATACAAGTTATTTATTCCCAAGGTACAATGGTGGTACAGGTATTGAGTAGACATTCCCACTCCCAAAGGGAGAAATTGGCCAAAAGAAAGGAGCAACAGCTCCCATGTAAGTCTGAAACCCAGCAGGGGACATTTAACCTCAGATTTCCAAAAATATTCCTTGGTTCCATGTCCTACATCCTGGGCACACTGGTGCAAGGGGTGGGCTCCCAAGGGCTTGTGCAACCCTTCCCCTGGCTTTGCAGGGTGTAACCTCCATGGCTGTTCTCATGGTCTGAAGTTGAGTGCCTATGGCTTTTCTAGGCTCAACGGGCATGCTGCCAGTGGCTCTATCATTCTCAGGTATGGAGGGTGGCAGCCCCCTTCCTAAAGTTCCTGTAGCCAGTTCCTAGGTGGAGACTCTGTGTGGGAGCTCCAATCCCACATTTCCCCTCTGCATTGCCCTAGTAGAGTCTCTCTGCAGGGGCTCCACTGCTGCAGCAGACTTCTGCCTGGGCACCCAGGCTTTCCTATACATCCTCTGAAATCTAGGTAGAAGCTCCAAAGGCTCCTTCATGCTCACATTCTATGCACCTGTATGGTAAACACCACATAGGAATCACCAAGGCTTATGACTTTTGCCCTCTGGAGCAATGGACTAAGCTGTACCTGGAGCCTTTGAGCCAAGGCTGGAGCCAGAGGGTCCTGAATGCAGGGAGCAGTGTCCTGAGGCTATGTGGGGCAGTTGGGCACTGGGCTCAGCCCCTGAAACCATTCTTTCATCCTAGGCCTCTGGGTTTGTGATGGAAGGGACTGTCCCAAAAACTTCTGAAATGGCTTTTAGCCCTTTTCCCCAGTATTAGCACCTGGCTCCCTTTTAGTCATGTAAATCTATCTAGCAAGTGGTTGCTCCATAGCAGCCTGCTTGGATTCCTCTCCTGAGTATACTCTTTCCTTCTCTACCACATATCCAGGCTGCAAATTTTCCAAATTTTTACACTCTGCATTCCTTTTAAATATAAGTTCCAAATTTAAGTCATTTATTTGCTCTGGAATCAAATCACAAGCTGTTAGAAGCAGCCATGCCACATCTTGAACACTTTGCTGCTTAGAAATTTCTTCCACCAGATACCCTAAATCATCACTCTTAAGTTCAACCTTCCACCAATCCCTATGGCATAAGCACAATGCAGCCAAGTTTTTGCTACCATGTAACAAGGGTGATCTTTGCTCCAGTACTCAATAACTTCCTCATGTTCATCTCAGACCTTATCAGCCTGGCCTTCACTGTCCATATTTCTATCAACATTTTGGTCACAACCAATTAACTAGTGTCTAAGAAGTTCCAAACTTTCCCTCATCTTCCTGTCTTCTTCTAAGCCCTCCAAACTCTTCCAACCCCTGCTTGTTACATATTTCCAAGGTGACTTCCACACTTTCAGGTATCTTTATAGGAATGCTCTACTACTCCACAGTACCAATTTTCTGTATTAGGCCATTTATGTTGCTGTAAAGGAATACCCAAAACTGAGTAATTTATTAAAAAAGAGGTTTACTTTGGCTCACAATTCCACAGACTGTACAGGAAGCAGGGTGCTGGCATCTGCTTCTGGTGAGGGCCTCAGGAAGCTTACAATCATAGCGGAAGGTGAAGGGCAAACAGGTATATCACACGATGAAAGTGGGAGGAAGAGAGAGAGGAGGGAGTTCCAGGCTCTTTTAAACAACTAGATCTTATGTTAACTCACAGAAGGAGAATTCATTCATTACCACAAAGCCATTCATGAGAGATTCACCCCCATGATTCAAACATCTCCCACCAGACCCCAACTCCAACTTTGGGGATAACATTTCAACCTGAGATTTGAAGGGGACAAAATATCCAAACCATAGCAGGTGTGGACATTCTGGATAGATGGTCCTGAGAATGTTGGTTCCGCAGATTACTCTGAACCCTCAGAAGTTGCAGAGGTGGCCCATGATTGTCTCATAAGAATAAACACTTTCCTCATGTTACAGAGGCCTCACCCAGCAATGCAACAAGTGCCACCCTCAGAAACTGCCCTTACTTCCTTGGAAAGGTTACCAGACCATTAATTAGGGCTAAGTGACAGCAGGATGCAGCCAAGGACATTCTGAGCCTGATAAGGAAGGAATGAGATTATATACTGAAGTTGTCGTATGTAAGAATTACATAGCATGTACTGGTAGGAGCCGGGGAAATAGCCTTGATATCGGGTTTTAATGATACTTGATCAAGGTAACCAGAATATACTGGATAAGCAATAATCATTGAGTTGAAAGCACTTTCTGGGAACATGGGATTTAACACTCTAGCAAGGACCCTAGGAAGTGAAGTAAACTTGCTGCTAGTGTGGTTCTTCAAAGCCTGGAGAAAGCAATGGCCCCTGCTGAGTGAAGTAGAGATGACTGAAGTACCCTGGCATCCCATAGAGGAAGAAATACAAAGTTCCAGGGCAGCCTAGAATGACTATATTATGGAAAACCAGAAAACCCAGCCAAAGATAGTGTTTCACAGCTATCACCAGCCCTTGATGATCAGCCAACATGGGTGTTGCTCAACATATACAAGCTGAAAAAGACAAGAGTGTAAGACTAGGAGGCTGAGAGAGGTTTCCTCAATAAGAATTCATGACCCTTGTTCAGTTGCTGAATCCAAGCTAATTTTTAGATCCAGAACACATTTATTAAAGGAGGAGCCAGATCTCTAGAAAAAAGAACCTTGTAGCATCTCAGTAAGTATGTAATTACAATAATTCTTTCAGTCCTTCCACAAAGGGAATTATAGCCATTCATTAGATGACTGTGTACAAGGGGAATAAGAATACCCAGACATTTCAACAACTATTGAACACAGTGCCTGAGTTTGACATTGATACCTAGAGACCCAAGGCATCATGATGGCCTGACTATTATAGTGGGAGTTTACAGAGGCCAGGTAATAAACAAATTTCTGTGTAAAGTCTGGCTCACTGTGGATCTACAGCTTCTATATTCTTTTCCCTCACATCCTGATTGTATAATTAGGATTTATATACTTGGCATTTGGAATAACTACTTATTGAGTCATTGTCCTGTGGGATGTGAAATCTCATAGTGGGAAAGGTTAAGTGGAAACTTATGGTGATGCCCTTACTTCTGGGCAAGGCAATAAATCACAAATAATATAGCATTCTCAAGGTGGAGAAAGAAATTACTGTCACTGTTAAAGACCTAATAGATACAGGAGCTGTGGTCTCTATCATATTTTCACTTGCTTTGCCAATCTTGCTTTTGCAGAACCTAATTGGATTCTGGAGAATAATAGCATGCTACCACAAGTCCAGCCATGGAGTATCCTTGATAAAAGCTGCTGTACTGTATGTGGTAGCATTGCCAGAGTAGATTAAAAAAGCCTAATTACGTGGTATGTAGCTTTTGATGTGGTTAATGTATTCTTTTGCATTTACTTAAAAAAAGGATCAGAACATTTACTTTCACATGGAGATAACATATTCATTTATAGTTTTGCCTCAGGGCAAACAAAATATACACTCCCACAGGGCTTCACATTGACCCATTATATCCATGATATGCTGATTGGACAGGAAGAGCAAGATGTGGTTATTACACTAGAGGCCTTTGTAAGACACATGGGCTCTAGACTGTGGAAGATAAGCCCATTACTTTACAGAAATTATAACAGGTTCAGTGGTTGTAAGAATGCCAGGATATCTCCTGCAGAGTTAAAGACAAGTTACTGCATCTTGTATCGTCTCCCACAAAGAAGGAAGCACAGCATCTGGCAGGCCTCTTTGGGTTTTTGAAGCAACACATTTTATACCCTCTAAGTCATAAAGTAAGATGAATCCAGCAGTAGCCCATAATACGGTGGAAACAGAATATCCTAGATTAAGTCCGAGGAAAACCAGAGGACACAGGTTAGGTATATGAGCAGATAGCCCAGATCCCCATGCTATCCACCACAGTTGCACCAGTGCCTCTCCTTTGGTTTGAACCTATAGCCATATTAAAGTATGTGGTCCCATATAACCAGTTGAAGGAAAGCTCAAGCTTGGTTTACAGGATCAGCTTGGTATGTGAACGTAAGTCAAAATACGTGGTGACTGTATTACAGCCCCATTTAGAGGTGGTCCTGAAAGGCAGCAGGGAGTGAAAATATTTTCCCAGTGGGTAGAACTGCAAGCAGTGCACCTGATTATCCACTTTTTGTGGAAAAAGAAGTGGTCCAAGATGGTAATATATATGCATTATTGGACAGTAGCCAAAGGTCTGGTGAGCTGGTCAGGAGCTTGGAAGGAAAAGATCAGAGAAAGGGAAGTCTAGAGTAGAGGCATGTGGATAGACATATTGGAAGTGATATGAAATAGGAAGATTTTTGTATCAATCCTATTTTAATGTTCACATGAAAGCATCAATTGTGAAAGAGTAACTGAAGAACTAAGTAGACAAAGCGACTTTGACCACTGACATTAACCAGCATTCATTCTGGCCTTCTCAGGACTGGTCCAATAGACATCTCAAAGAACTAGCCATGGCAGAAGAAATGGAGGTAATATATGGGCCCAATATCACAGACTCCTGTGTACCAAGACAATTTAGCTGCTTCCCTGTATGAATATCCAACCTGCAGCAACAGCGACCAAGGCTCTATCTCAAATACGACACTATTTATGAAGACCACTTAGCAGTGAATTGACTATATTGTATGCTTTTTATCCTGGAACAGTCAGTGGTTCATGCTCACAGAACTATGTACCTATTCTGGGTATGGATTTGCCTTTTCTGCCTGCACAGCCTCATTAAGCATCTGAGGGATTTGGGGGTTCTTGAGCCATAGTCTCGGAATCCCACACAACAGAGCATCTGGACAGGGTAGTCACTTCATAGTAAAGAAGGGGCACAAATGGGTCCAGAACAAGAGGATCCACTTATCATATCAAATACTGCACCATCCAGAAGGAGCTGACCTCACAGAACACTTCTGAAGGCAAAGATAAAGCACCAATAAAAGTAAACCCTGAAAAAATTGGGTGCCGTTCTCCAGGATGCAGTGTATACATTAAATCACAGACCTATACGTTAGGCTTTAGATCTAATTGGAAGAATGGGATTAGGAATAAGAGGTGAAAGCAGGAGTGTGCCTACTCCCCATCGTAGTGGCCCACAAGGATCACAGCAGTGGTTTGAACACGGATTGGACTACTGATATCCAGGAATCGCCGCACAAGAAGGGGAATCCACATGTGGCAGGAGTAATTGACTATGATGTGTAGGAGGGGTAGGGCTGCTTTAGTAAAATGAGTAAGAAAGGAATACATATGAAACCAGGTGATCTACTTGAGTGCCTCCTGGTATTCTCTTGCTTCATTTAACTGTGAATGGATAATGTCATTGAAAAGAGTTTGGACACCTCCACAATGAAAGTTTGGTTCACATGGCTAAGTAAGCTTCCAAGACTTGTCAAAATAATAACTGTGTGAGGGACATTTCAAATAGGTAGTGGAAAAGGAAGATAATAATTACCAGTTCTGGCCCAGAAACTAAATGCAGCAAGGGGGGCTGTAGTGTGTCCCACTATCCTCCCTCTTCAAAGTTTGGCTTCATAAAGAGAAGCTTAAAGGAATAAGGAAGGAACTGTTCCATGAACCTGAATGGAGAAATAGATCTGTCGAGTACAAAGGTGGACTGTGGTGACTATGAAAATGTGCTGCTCAGATCCCTGGCTATAGAGAGCATAGTTACTTGATGGCCCCAGCTGCTGTCCCTCGGGACCAACTATTGCATTTGCACCAAAGCCATGCTTCCCTCAGACTTCTCCTAGATAATCACTGAGTGGGAAATAGTAGTGCGGGTCAATTCCTCAGAGATGAGGAACACCTCCAACAGGCAACTTTGACTCGTGGTATCCCTATCAACCTTTAAGAAATCTTAGAACTGTGGGGCAGTCTGAAAGTATTCCTACCTATCTTTATTTTTTCCTTCCTCTTCTCCTTTCACAGACATCATTTCTGCATTATGATCCAAAGGCTCTTCCTGACTTCTGCTCCCTCCCCTTTATCCCCTTTTCCCATAATTAATCTCTTTCACAGGAGTCTTATCTTGGTGTCTGCCTCTCAGGGAACCTGAACTAACATAGGTACTAATAAAAGTATTGTTTAGAATCACTTGATTATATATCGAGAAGCATAGCGTCCAAAGAAAATCCACCAAATATCATGGCTATATTAAAAATAAAGCAGTAATAGTTGTTTATTTTATTTAAAAGCTTACTGAATATAGGCCAGGCACAGTCGCTCATGCCTGTAAGCCCGGCACTTTAGGAGGCCAAGCCTGGCGAATTGCTTGAGCCCAGGAGTTCGAGACCAGCCTGGGCAGTATGGTGAAACCATGTCTGTACAAAAAAATACAAAAATTAGCCTGGCACGATGGTGTGTGCCTGTAGTCCCAGCTACTCGGAAGACTGAGGTGGGAGGGTCACCTGATCCTGGGAGGTCAAGGCTGCAGTGAACAGAAATCACGCCATTGCATTCCAGCATGGGCAACAGAGTGAGACCCTGCTTCAGAAAAGCAAAACAAAACACAAAAAGCAAAAAAAAAAAAACATGGTTACTGAATAATATGTTTTCTTTCATTTTCCTTTTTTAATTTATCTTTTATTCTAAGTTCAGGGGTACATGTGCAGGTTTGTTATATAGTTAAACTTATTTCATGGGAGTTTGTGGTACACATTATTTCCTCACCCAGATATTAAACCTAGTGTACATTAATTATTTTTCCTGATCCTCTCCCTCCTGCCAACCTCCACCCTCTAATAGGCCCCAGTGTGTGTTGTTCCCCTCTATGTGTCCATGCGTTCTCATCATTTAGCTCCCAGTTATAAGTCAGAACATGTGGTATTTGATGTTCTGTTCCTGCATTAGTTTGGCTAAGGATAATGGCCTCCAGCTCCATCCAAGTTTCTGCAAAGGACATGATTGTGTTCTTTTTATGGCTGCATAGTATTACATGGTGTATATGTACCACATTTTCGTTATCCAGTCTATTTTTACTGATGAGTATTTAGGTTGATTCCATGTCTTTGCTTTTGTGAATAGTGCTGCAATAAACATACGTGTGCATGTGTCTTTATGATAGAACAATTTATATTCCTTTGGGTGTATACCAAGTAGTGAGATTGCTGGGATGAATGGTAGTTCTGTTTTTAGGTCTTTGAGGAATCGCCACATTGTCTTCCACAATGCTTGAAGTAACTTACACTCCTCAGCCGCAGTGTATAAGTTTTCCTTCCCCCACATCCGCACCCCCCCACCCCGAGCCTCACTGCCATCTGTTATTTTTTGACTTTTTAATAATAGCCATCCTGACTGGTGTGAGATGTTATCTCATTGTGGTTTTGATGTGCATTTATCTAATGATCAGTGATGAGATTTTTTCATGATTGTTGGTTTGCATGTATGTCTTCTTTTGAAAAGTGTCTGTTCGTGCACTTTGCCCACTTTTTAACAGGTTGTTTGTTTTTTCTTGTAAATTTAAGTTCCTTGTAGATGCTGGATATTAGACCCCTGTCAGATGTGCAGTTTGCAAAAACTTTCTCCCATTCTGTAGGTTGTCTGTTCATTCTGTTGATAGTTTCCTTTGTTGTGCAGAAGTTCTTTAGTTTAATTAGATCTCATTTGTCAATTTTTGTTTTTGTTGCAATTGCTTTTGGCGTCATCATCATGAAATCTTTGCCTGTTCCTATATCCGGAATGCTATTGCCTAGGTTATCTTCAAGGGTTTTTATAGTTTTGGGTTTTACAGTTAAGTCTTTAATCCTTCTTGAGTTGATTTTTGTATATGATATAAAGAAGGGATCCAGTTTCAATCTTCTGCATATGACTAGCCAGTTCTCCCAGCATCATTTATTAAACAGGAAATCCTTTTCACATTGCTTGTTCTTGTCAGCTTTGTAGAAGATCAGATAGTTGTAGGTGTGTAGCCTTATTTCTGGGTTCTCTACTCTGTTCCATTGTTCTGTGTGTCTGTTTTTGTATCAGTACCATGCTGTTTTGTTTACTGTAGCCCTGCAGTACAATTTGAAGTTGGGTACTGTGATGTCTCCAGCTTTGTTCTTTTTGCTTAGGATTGCATTGGCTATTCGGGCTCTTTTTTGGTTCCATATGAATTTTAACCTAGTTTTATCTAGTTCTGTGCACAATGTCAATGGTACTTTAATAGGAATAGCATTTACTTTATAAATTGCTTTGGGCAGTATGGCCATTTTAATGACAGTGATTCTTCCTATCCATGAACATGGATTTTTTTTTCACTTGTTTGTGTCATCTCTGATTTCTTTGAACAGTGTTTTGTAGTTCTACATGTAGAGATCTTTCACCTCCCTGTTTAGCTCTATTCCTGGATATTTTAATTATTTTCTGGCAATTGTGAGTGGGATTGCATTCCTGATTTGGATTTCAGCTTGACTGTTGCTTGTGTATAGGAATGTTAGTGATTTCTGCACAGTGATTTTGTATCCTGAGAATTTGCTGAAGTTGTATATCAGCTTAAGAACTTTGGGACTGAGACTATGGGGCTTTCTAGATATAGGATCATGTCATCTGCAAACAGGGTAGTTTGACGTCTTGTCTTCCTAGTTAGATGATCTTTATTTCTTTCTCTTACTTAATTGCCTGGCCAAAACTTCCAATACTATGTTGAATATGAGTGGTGAGAGAGGGCATTCTTGTCTTGTGCCGGTTTTCAAGGGGAATGTTTCCAGCTTTTGCCCATTCAGTATGATGTAAGCCGTGGATTTGTCATAGATGGCACTTATTATTTTGAGGTATGTTCCTTCAATGCCTAGTTTGTTGAGAGTTTTTAACATGAAGGAGTGTTGAATTTTATTGAAAGTCTTTTCTGCATCTATTGAGACGATCATGTGGTTTTTGTCTTCAGTTCTGTTTATGTGATTTATCACAATTACTGACTTGTGTATGTTGAACCAACCTTGCATCCCCTGGAAGAAGCCTGTTTGATCATGGTGGATGAGCTTTTTGATGTGCTGCTGGATTTGGTTTGCCAGCATTTTGTTGGGAATTTTTACATCAATGTCCATCAAGGATATAAGGCTAAGTTTTTTTTGTGTTGTTGTGTTTCTGCTAGGTTTTGGTATCAGGATGATGCTGGCCTCATAGAATGAGCTAGGGAGGAGTCCCTCCGCCTTAATTTTTTGAAATAGTTTCAGCAGGAAGGGTACCAACTCTTCTTTGTATATCTGATAGAATTCAGCTATGAATCCCTCTGATCCCGGGCTTCTTTTGGTTGGTAGGCTGTTTTTTTTACTGACTCAATTTTGGAGCTTGTTATTGGTCTGTCCAGGAATTTAATTTCTTCCTGGTTCTGTCCTGGGATGTGTATGTGTCCAGGAATTTATTCATATCTTCCAGATTTTCTAGTTCATAATGTGCACAGGGGTGTTCATAATATTGTCTAATGGTTACTTATGTTTCTGTGGGGTCAGGAGTAATATCCCCCTTGTTGTTTCTGATTGTGTTTATTTGAATCTTCTCTCTTTTCTTCTTTATTAGTCTAGCTAGAGGCCTATGTATTTTATTAATGGTTTTCAAAAATAGCTCCTGGATTGGTTGATCTTTTGAATGGATTTTTGTGTCTCAGTCTCCTTCAGTTCAGCTCTAATTTTGGTTATTTTTTTTCTTCTGTTAGCTTTGGGATTGGTATGCTTTTGAGTATCTAGTTATTTTAGTTATGATGTTAGGTCATTAACTTGAGATGTTTCTAACTTTTTGAGGTGGACATTTAGTGCCATAAATTTAACTCTTAACACTACCTTAGCTGTGTCTCAGATATTCTAGTATGTCATATCTTTGTTCTCATTAGTTTCAAATAACTTCTTGATCCTGACTTAATTTTGTTATTTACCCAAAAGTCATTCAAGAGCAGGTTATTCAATTTCCATGTAATTGTATGGTTTTGAGTGAATTTCTTAGTCTTAATTTCTATTTTGATTGCACTGTGGTTCACGAGATTGTTATGATTTCAGTTCTTTTGTATTTGCTGAGAAGTGTTTTACTTCCAATTACATGATTGATTTTAGAGTATGTGCCATGTAGAGGTGAGAAGAATGTATATTCTGTTGGTTTTGTATGGAGATTTCTGTAATGTCTATCAAGTCCATTTGATCCAGTGCTGAGTTCAGGTCCCGAATATCTTTGTTAATTTTCTCAGTCTTTGCTCTGTCTAATGATGTCAGTGTGGTGTTAAAGTCTTCAACTATTATTGTGTAGGCATCTAAGTCCCTTTGAAGGTCTTTAAGAACTTGATTTATGAATCTGTGTGCTCCCGTGTTGGGTGCATATATATTTAGGGTAGTTAGATCTTCCTTTTTAATTGAACTCTTTACCATTTTGTAATATGCTTCTTTGTTTTGTTTTGTTTTTTTCTTCATTGGTTTAAAGCCTGTTCTGTCTGAAGGAGACAGTTTTGGGCTTGCTGAATTTAAAGCATCTCAAAAGACCTTCAAGTATTATCAAGAGGTAAAATCCTTTCCTAGATTTCAGGCCTGAAGGAAAAATAGCATCTGGTTCAAAGGTTTAAGTCTATGGCAGTGGAAACTAAGTCACACATCCAGACTAGATGCAGAACTAGGGTTAGAAGTCGGGGTCTCTACTTCTAGTTTATGGTTCTTCCTGCTGCAGGAAGAGAGTGTCTCTGGAACCATGAGGTACCCTTCTAAGAGAATTTAGCCAACGCTTTTTCATCTGAGACTAACTTCAGTTTATTCAGCCCTTATCAAGTCTAAACATAGGTCCTCTTAGCCTGTCAATTTAAAGGTCTTTCATTATTTTAAATGCTGTTTGGGAGATTATGATCCTGTATCAATTATCTAGGTAAAAAGCAATCTACTCATTTAACCCCCCCTTTTTTTTTTGACGGAGTCTCAGTGTGTCGCCCAGGCTGGAGTGCAGTGGCACAATCTTGAATCACTGCAACCTCTGCCTCCCGGGTTCAAGCAAGTCTCTGCCTTAGCCTACCGAGTAGCTGGGATTATAGGCATCTGCCACCACGTCTGGCTAATTTTTGTATTTTTAGTAGAGATGGGATTTCACCATCTTGGCTAGGCTGGTCTTGAACTCCTGACCTCGTGATCCACCTGCCTCAGCCTCCCAAAGTGCTGGGATTACAGGCATGAGCCACTGCTCCTGCCCTCATTTGACCCTTCTTATAGTGTGGAAGGCAGGTTTACAGGGGCAATGTACAAAGCTTTTTGGAACCATCTGAAAGAACAGCTATTGAGTACTCCTCCTGACTTCACTTGTGCTCTTGAACTTCTAAAAGAAGTTAAGGAGGTGAGTAACCAACCTCCCATTTGGAGATGGGAAGTTCCTGGGCATCTCAGAACCTTGGATTGTCAATGGCTATTAATATCTTAAGTAGCATACTTTTTTAACGTGGCCTGCTACTTAAATAGATAGGATGAGGCAGCTTCCATTTTATTTGTGTAAGACGAAACTTGACAGTTGGGTGATTATTATAAAAATATGTAATTCAATTAAACAAATTATTACTGAAATCCCACTATGGTCTGTGTGTTTCAGAAACCCAAAGATGAATAGGACAGCCCTTTCCCACAAGGAACTTACATGTTTGAGTCAAAAGGCTATTTCAAGTGGCCATAAAGATTCCAAATTTGCTATTTTATCCTCATGCTTTGGAGTAAAACTATCTAAAAATGTCCTTATCCTTTATTAAGAATAAATAATCTTATTTCCTTTATTAGCGGTGGCTCACATCTGTAACCCCAGCATTTTGGGAGGCCGAGGCGGGCAGATCATGAGGTCAGGAGATC
>NW_021160029.1:0-68192 GCF_000001405.40 Homo sapiens
ATGGGGACAGTTTCCCCCATGCTGTTCTCATCATAGTGAGGAAGTTCTCACAAGATCTGATGGTTTTATAAGTGGCAGTTTCCCATGTGCTCTCTCTCCTGTCACCTTGTGAAGACGTGCCTTGCTTCCCTTTACCTTCTGCCATGATTGCAAGTTTCCTGAGGCCTCCAAGCCATGTGGAACTGTGATTAAATTAAATCCCATTTCTTTATAAATTGCCCAGTCTTGTGTAGTTCTTATAGCAGTGTGAAAATGGACTAATATAGTGGAGGAATATGTATGTGTAACATGGGGAGTGACTGGAAGAGGAAAGACTATTTGGCTTAACTCTTCTGTGAACTCATTTGTTTTCTTCTAGTCTGTAGTCACAGAATGTCACCCTCACCTCTGGAACTAAATTGCTAATCAGTGTTTTTGATGACCACGGGCAATGGATGGTTATGGCTCATCAGCTCAAAATCATTTCCATTCCTGGAAAACAATTTCAACATGGGTTGGAAAAAAAACAATTCAATATATAAGAAAGAATGATATTTTTCACATTAATGTCAAATATTCACTGCCATAAGGGGTTCAAAGAAAAAAAGAATAAGGAAACTTCTTTAGACCTTTTTCCTGTTCTGGAAAAAATTGCTAAATTGTTGCCTGTGTGCTCAAGGAGCTATCATTCTCTTTCAAATTATTTGCTTGACTCCCTCTCTTATGTAGAATGCTGTTCTAAACCCTATTTGTAGTACAGAAGAACTTGAGTTACAGCCTGTCTATTGAGTGAGACATGAAAAAAAGATTGAACAACACTTATAAAACAATATTTAATTAAAAGCAAAGTAAAATAATTCACATTGAGTATAGAATGAAATGGATAGAAATGCAAGTCCTCTGGAGCCAGATTGTCGGCATTCATACATTAATAATCCAGCTCCTTCCTTCCTTCCTTCCTTCCTTCCTTCCTTCTTTCCTTCCTTCCTTCCCTCCCTCCCTCTCTCTCTCTTTCTTTCTTTTTCTTTCTTTCTCTGTTTCCACAGCGTCTTGCTCTATCGCTTAGCCTGGAGTGCAGTAGTGCAATCACAGCTCACTGCTGCCCTGAACTCAAACACTGGAACATTCCTCCAACCTTAGCCTCCCAAGTAGCTAATTCAGCTTCTTACCACTTCTCTAAGACTGGACAAGTCACATAACCAATTTATGTCCTAGTATCCTCATCTATAAAATGGGAATTGCAATGGAATCTACCTCAAGAGGATGCTATGAGCTCTAAGTGAATCACTACATGCATAGTGCCTAGAACAAGATCTGGTGCATAGAAGACTCAACAAATATTAGCTATTATTATCACATGAAACTTGGAAGTACAGAAGATAAATGAAGAACACACATGATTTGAGGTCAAATGGTATTACCAGGAGATACTTCCTAGAGCAGTTATGTTTTAAACTAGAGTTTTAAGGAGCTTTGGAAGAAAAGAGCATCTTCTGAGGGTCACTGAGACATTGTTTTATGTTGAAAATATAGTAATTGGCATTGGAAGACATGAGCTCCAATCTCAGTAATAACTCTGCTTAGTTATATAATGTAACTTTTATAAATAACAGTTTTTTGATCCATAAAACAATGAAGAGTATCTTCTCTTTCTGCACAGAGTATAACTAAGAATATATATGTGTATGTGTGTGTATTTCTATGCAAAAAAGTGATATAAATGCATATATATAATATATATACATATACAATGTAAAGACAGTTTGAAAACTAGTCTTCACTATGAATGCTAATTATATGATGTTCTAGCACTTTGTAGTATACGGTACCATAATATTAGGGAGACAGTGTGATCTAACAGAAAAAGTACAGGATTTGGAGCAAAAGAAAAAAAACAACCAACCAACCAAACAAAAAACCCATAGCTTTCAAATTCCAGCTGTGCCAATTGGGTAAAACATTTAACCTCATGAGCCTTAGTACATTCATCTGTAAAATGGGATAATCAAATCTACCTCATGGTGCTGCTATGAAAATTAAATGAGAACACACAAATATATGATACACTTTAGCATTATCCAGAATATAATTTGTACTTGATTAATATTAAAATTATGTCCAAATAAGATATGCATAACTAACAGAGTTGGAGACAATAAGGAAAACACAAATTACCAAAACTGGAAATGATCCTAGAAGTCATCTAATTTAACCTAATTTATTCATTCAGTATAATGTATATCAGGGCTCCTGCTTTGTGCTTGACACTGCCATCAGTACAACTCACAATCTTTGTGCTGGCAGCTTTGACACTGATAGAGGACTCGGTTTATAGTCTTCCTCTCTCTATATATGTGTCTACGTTCATTGTTACATCCCCAGCACCAAGAATAGGACCTGGAACATTGTCAGTATTCAATAAGTATCTGTTGAAAGAATGTAAAGGGGATCTTAAATCTGGAAAATAATGCTTGAGTAGAATAGAATTTTTTTAAGAGATGAGTGATTCCTTTAAGTGTACCTGCAAGCATATAATGTAAGCAGTTTTTCCACTTCATCTTGTATCCTCTGTATCTGAAAACCAGCTTCAGAGAAAAGCAGCCAACTCTCACTTCAGTCTTATCATTAATCCCCTGACTCCTTATTAAAATTGGACCTTGAGTTGTTTTGCCCTGGAAGTGACCTGAATCACCTCTAATTTCCACATGCTTTTATGAGAAGCTACTGAGATCCTAACTTCCTTGCCTCGTCCAAAAAGCCAGAGCAAAGTGGAATATAGGACGCCACTCTCTCTTCTGCCCCCAGCTCATTACATTATCTCTGTACACACTGCTCGCATGGGCTACCTTAGCAGATCTCTTGCCTTCAGAAATCTCTGGACCGGAAACAGACACCATCTTTATGTTCCTGTAGGCTCCGAAACTTCGAGAAACAACTACAAAGCAATGTCAAGAAATCTGCCTTCTTGCTTCTTTCTCACGAGAACATCAGATAGGCCTGCTGCTCTCATCTCAGCAGGCACTTAAGCTGAGGAGAGTGATGCTAGTGTTTCCTTCTTGAAAGCCATATCCAGTCTTCAACTGATCTTTTTGGAATTCTTCTTTTCCTTGGCACAGAGAGAAAAGATCAAGGACTAGAAAAGACCATTCTCTTGCTTAAATTCTGCACAACCAATGCCTCAAATTTTTCCTGTGTCTAATCCTCTCATGTAGATTGAGGACAGGGATAGAGATGGTTTAATACCTTCTTAGAAAATCCTACAAGAAGGAGTCTGGTCCCAAATTTGAGGCCAGAAAGATGATTTTCTTTAGAATATGAGAGTAGTTAGCAGCTTTCGTTTCCAGCTCAATAATTTTATCAACAATTCTGGTGGCTACAGGGGAAAAAAAATCAGGCAATAGAACAATCAACATCTGTGTGTGTGTGTGTGTGTGTGTGTGTGTGTGTGTGTGTGAACCTCTATCTATCTATCTATCATCTATCTACCACATCATTGTCAAACTGCTGAAAATAAACTATGTATACATAATTTATCTATGTATCTATCCTGTGTGTGTGTGTGTGTGTGTGTGTGTGTGTCTGTGAGACCAAAAATTCCACTAGAATATAAACACCATGAAAGAAGAAGCTGTTCTAGCCCCAACACCTGCAACAGTGCCTGGGACCTGGTTAGCACTCAAGAAATGTTGTTAAATAAATCAAGGAATCAGAAAGACAAAGGGCTTGTGCAGGTTCTTTGAGCTACCAAGTTTGCTGAATGATCGTATCTGTCAAAACATAGTGACAATGAGAATTTTGATGTCTATACTGCAGTGGTGTCATCTTAGATATTAAGGAAAGATACCAAACAATGATGTCCTTGAATGTGTGTGTGTGTGTGTGTGTGTGTGTGTGTGTGTGTGTATGTGTCCTGTTTATGTATCTGTATCCATCTATGTCTGGATGTCTGGACTGATATCTTAAATATTTTCATTTCCATCATAATTTTCAATGTATTTTTGTTACGATGAGAGTTTACAATGTTAGTTGATAGAAAAATGATAAAAAGAGGTTCAAAATTAATCACAATATAATTGCTAGTTTTTTCTTTCTATGCATTTTGCTGATTTTAATATTGTTTGCTAGAATCTTGGAAGGTTAAATATTAAGTGTATGAAAAGACATTTTAGTACTTAAATTGAAGACCTTAAGAATAACTTGAATATCGCTTCTTTCTTGAGAATTGCATTATTTACTTATTCAGCATCTTATGGAAAAGTAAAATGAATAGATACTATGTAACATCTTTCTGTTAATTGGTAAACTTCATATTTCTTATATTGTATTTCAACAACTAAATGTAAAAAAAGCACTCAAAATATTTATAATTAAGAGTATGTAATATATAATCTCAATAAAATGCATATAAAAATTAACAGAACTCTAAGACTGCAATGAAGCATCAAACTTAAAATGTACTCAGTAATGGCAATAGGAAATTCAAATCAATTAATAAAAACCATTAAATGGGTGAAGGAATCAGTGTCAGCAAAACCAGAATTTACTCCATCTAGCCTTTAAGATTATTCTTCGTAGTATAATTGAAGTCTATTGATGTTTTCTGCTTAAATTTATAATAGACTATACTGAAAAAAAATCAGGAAAAAAATAATTTAAAACCCTAAACTTTTATTTTTGCCAGGGTTATTTTCCTTACTAGCTGCTGAAAAATGTTATTGCATCTTGAATTGTGCGTGTAGCAAGTTAGTTTCCTCAAGGGAACAGAAGTAATGTATTGACTTATTGACTCAACAGAGGTGCCTTTAATTTCTGTGACACTCAGTTCTTAAACCACTTTATAGTTTCAGTCAGCCAAACTATTCAATGGCATAAAAAGTTATTTTCCCAGTTAAAAGTGTTTCTGCTCTTTATCTTCATCTTGTAATGTAAAAACATTAAAAGGGAAAGAAATTAACTACTATAATTCAATATTTGCAATTCTAGTTCATAAGACAAATAATTTCCATCTCCTCCCACAGGCTTTTGCTAAATGATGTCTTATGATATTTTAAAGGTTCTCATAACATTCTATTTTATTTTTTGTAGCAAACTCACATTGTATTTTAAAAAATTTATGATTGACACATAATAATTGTACATATTTATAGGCTACAATGTTATGTTTTGATATAGGTTGAGGATACTAAATCTAAAAATCAGAAATTCAAAATGTTCCAAAATCTGAATCTTTTTGAGCACCAGTATGATGCTCAAAGGAAATGCTCATTGGAACATTTCAGATTTTGGATTTGGGGATTTGGAATGCTCAACCAGTACAATGCAAATATTCCCAAAATCTGAAAAACTCTGAAATCTGAAATACTTCTGGTCCTAAGCATTTTAGATAAGGGATACTCAATCTGTACATGTATACATTGTGTAATGATCAAATCAGGGTAATTGGCATATTCATCACTTTAAACATTTATTATTTACTTTTAATGAGAACATTTGGAAACCTCTCTTCTACCTATTTTGAAATATATATTAACTCCAGCCTTCTACCATGCAATAGAACATCAGAACTTACTCCTCTTATCTAATTGTAGCTTTATACTTATTGATCGATGTCTTTCAATCCCTCAGCCCATCCACTCTCTCCATCTTCTGGTACCACTATTCTACTTTCTACTTTCATGAGAATGACTTTTTATACCCACATATGAGTGAGTTCATGCAGTATTTACCTTTTTTGTGTCTAGCTTATTTCCCTTAACCTAAGGTCTTCCAGGTCCATCCATATTGCCACAAATGACAGTATTTCATTCTTGTTAATGTCTTAATCCATTGATGGATATTTGGCAGAAAAATATTTGATAAAATTCAACATTTCTTCACGATAAAAGCTCCTAAGAAATTAGGTATAGAAGGACTGTACTTCAACATAATAAAGGCCATGAATTACAAACCCACAGCTAACATCACAATGAACTGGGAAAAGCTGAAAGCTTTCTTTTAAAATCTGAAACCAGACAAGAATGTCTTCTTTCACCGTTTTTATTGAATATAGTACTGGAAGTCCTAGCCAGAGTAATCAGGCAAGAGAGAGAAATAAAGGGCATCCAAACTGGAAAAAATAAAGTCAAATCGTCCCTGTTTGTTAATGACATCATATATATACATATATACACACGTACGTGTACACATAAACCTATACGCACACACGTACGTGTACACATAAACCTATACGCACACACGTACGTGTACACATAAACCTATACGCACACACGTACGTGTACACATAAACCTATACGCACACACGTACGTGTACACATAAACCTATACGCACACACGTACGTGTACACATAAACCTATACGCACACACGTACGTGTACACATAAACCTATACGCACACACGTACGTGTACACATAAACCTATACGCACACACGTACGTGTACATATAAACCTATACGCACACACGTACGTGTACATATAAACATGTGTACACACGTACGTGTACATATAAACATGTGTACACACGTACGTGTACATATAAACATGTGTACACACGTACGTGTACATATAAACATATGTGTACACGTACGTGTACATATAAACATATGTGTACACGTACGTGTACATATAAACATATATATACACATACAAAAGGGAAAGAAATTAACTAGTATAATACAGTACTTGCAATTCTAATTTATAAGATGAATTATTTATAACTCCTCCCATAGGCTTTTTCTAGTGTCTTACAATATTACGCATATATGTGTGTATATGTATGTATATAGATATACATATTATATATTACAGACACACATATACACACATCTGTAATATCATGACATTATTTAGAATATATATCTATAAACAAATATACATATATGTGCTTATAATATAAATATATGTATATGTGCTTATAATATACATATATATATAAAACCCAAAGATTCTCCCAAAAAACATTAGAATAAAAGTAAGGTTGCAGGATACAAAATCAATACACAAAAATAAGTAGCACTTCTATATACCACTAGCAAATTATCTGGAAAAAAAATCAAGAAAGTAATCCCATTTACAAAAATATGAAAACAATTAAAATACCTAGGAATACACTTAACAATGAAAGTTATAAAACATTGATGAAAGAAACTGAGGAAAACACACACAGAAAATAGAAAGATATCACATGTTCAGGAATTGAAATAACTAATATCGTTAAAATGATCAGGGCATCTAAAGTGAGATACAGATTCAGTGCAATCCTTATCAAAATACCAATGACATTATTTACAGGAAGACAAAATGCAATCCTAAAATTTGTACGAAACCACAGAAGACCCTGGATAGCCAAAGCAAACTTGAGCAAAAAGAATAAAGCTGGTGGCATCACGCTACTTGAGTTCAAAACATACTACAAACCTAGAGTAAGCAAAACAGCATTGGACTGGCATAAAAATAGACACATAGACCAATGAAATAGAATAGAGAGCCAAGAAATAAATTCACACATCTATAGCTAACCGATTTTTGACAAGGTGCCAAGAACACACATTAAGGAAAGGACAGCCTCTTCAATAACAATGCTGAGAAAACTGGATATCCACATGAGAAAGAATGATATTAGAGCTTTCTCTCTCACCATAAGCAAATATTATCTCAAAACAGATTAAAGACTTAAAATGTAACACCCGAAACTACTAGAAGAAAATATAGGGGAAAAGCTTCATGACAGTGGTCTAGACAAAGATTTTTTAGATAAAACCTCAAAAGCAAAGGTAATCAAAGCAAAAATGGACAAATAGGATCACATCAGGTTAAACAGCTTCTGCACAACTAAGAAAACAATCAACAGAGCTTAAAAAGACAACCCACAGAATGGGAGAATATATTTGCAAACTATATACCTGATACGGGGTTAATAACCAAAATATATAAGGAACAAAAATAACTCAATATTTTTTTAAAAAACTGATTAAAAATGAACAAAAGATCTGAATAAACATTTCTCAGAAGAAGACATACAAATGGACAACAGATATGTGAAAAATGCTCAACATTCCTAATGATCAAGGAAATACAAATCAAAATTATAATCAGATATAACCTCATTATCAGAATGGTTACTATCAAAAAATGAAAAAAATAACAAGTATTCACGAGATGTGGAGAAAAAGTAATCCTTACACACTGTTGGTGGGACTGTAAATTAATACAGCCATTATGAAAAACAATATGGAGGTTCCTCAAAGAATTAAAAATAAAACTACCATGCAATCCAGCAATCCCACTACTGGGCATATATCCAAAGGAAATGGAATCAGTATACCAAAAAGATACCTGCACTCCTGTTTATTATAGCATTAGTCACAATAGCCAAGGTATGGAACCAACTACACTTTCTATGGTGAAAAGTACTTTTGGTATTTATTTGTTTAATATCTGTTTCCTTACAGGCTGTGAGAACTTAAATCATGCCTAGTTTTTAACACCCCAGGACCTAGCATAGTGCTTGGTACATAGTAAGTGCTCAAGAAATGTTTATTAAAATGAATGATGTTTGTGTCTTAAATTGTCCTAAGTATTCTTTAAAGAACTTTTTTAAAAAATAAAAACACATATGAGACCTTGATAATAGTACTTAGAGTATTGTACATTTTCATATAATGACAAATGACAATCTTGCTGTACAGTTTGTATTGGAATTTACATTAAGAATATTAATATAAATCATGTAATATGAGAATATGCAAAAACTCTGTATCTTAGAGGTACTCTAATTAGGAGACAACACTGAGAAGTGATTACTTGGCACCTCAAATATCATCATTGAAATCTACATAAAAGAATTTATTAATTAAGCATAAGAGATACTGGAAATATTTTTCCACTGGTAAAATGCACCATGTTCAAAATAGGTAACTGATTATGCAAATTTGTACAAGTCCCATTGTCCTTGCGTGAACAAGGTATTAGAATCTAACAAGGCACTGTTGGACCATTTGTGCAGTGCTCAAGGTCTGCAGCCCCATTGTTTTCTAATCCTGCGTCAGAACACCATTGTGTCTGCCTTTCAGTGACTCTTTCACATAAGGTACCAGCTGAAAGGCCTAGGATGGAGAGGAGCACTCCTGACAGATTTGTAGGGGAGGGGATATAAAACCCCAACTCGCCTGTAACTACAGGACACTACCAATATTTGCAAAAACAATCTTTCATTTGAGGAATGCCAACATTGTCTTATATCAGTACGCATCAACTCTTAAAATAAATTTCTGCTTATAAAAATTTTTCGGCTGGGCGAGGTGGCTCAAGCCTCTAATCCCAGCACTTTGGGAGGCCGAGGTGGGCGGATCACGAGGTCAGAAGATCAAGACCATCCTGGCTAACACGGTGAAACCCCGTCTCTACTAAAAATACAAGAAATTAGCCCGGCGTGGTGGCAGGCGCCTGTAGTCCCAGCTACTTGGGAGGCTGAGGCAGGAGAATGGTGTGAACTCGGGAGGTGGAGCTTGCAGTGAGCCGAGATCTCGCCACTGCACTCCAGCCTGGGCGACAGAGGAAGACTCCGTCTCAAAAAAAAAAAAATTTTTTTGAAGGAACTTATTCATAGAATTGGACACATGCCAACCCTGTCATCTTTAAAAACCAGTAATAGGCCTGGCGTGGTGGCTCACACCTGTAATCCCAGCACTTTGGGATGCCAAGGTGAGCGGATCACTTGAGATCAGGAGTTCGAGACCAGCCTGGCCAACATGGTGAAACCCCGTCTCTGCTAAAAGTACAAAAATTAGCCGGACTTGGTGGTGCATGCCTGTAATACCAGTTACTCAGGATGCTGAGGCAGGAGAATTGCTTGAGCCCAGGAGGCAGAGGTTGTAGTGCAGAGGTTGCAGTGAGCCAAGATTGTGCCACTGCACTCCAGCCTGGGCGACAGAGCGAGATTCTGTCTTAAAAAAATAAAAAATAAAAAATAAAAAGCAGTAATAATGGTGTGATTTGAAATAATATAAATAATAAAAGTAATATTTCTTAAACTACTTTCTTTTTCACAATATTTATACATCTGTTTTTCTTCATTTGAGACAACAATCCTGTGTGAACAATATAATGCTTTGTTATCCTCATTTTTGGTGAGATTAAGTGACATGACCCCCATTATTTAGCAGATAAAATTCAGATCCTACTTCCAGCCCAATGCGGTGCTCTTTTGTTTTTATCTGTTAAAAAGTTTGCACAGCTAGTTTCCTGAACGACTGAGATCCTAAAATAGTCTCAATAGTTTCTGAGATAAACACTTCATTCTTCTAGAAGTCAGGAGAGTTGAAAAAGGTCAAAATGTATGTTCCTGTAAAAGCTTAAATGAGAACCACTATTAACACTCAAAACTGCCAGGGGTTTGCTCTGAAACTAAATAATCCTTCTGCTTCTTATTCTGCTAAGTGCTTTATTAACTCTTCCAAAATTCTTTTCAAAAAATATTTTACAGTGAATGGAAATACTAAAGCAGAAAATAAAAGAGCAATAGCAGTTTTCTGGATTGGGAGTTGGTATATAATATAGTTAAAAACATTGCTTGGCTCTTTTAATAAAGTATATTATTTAAATTATTGGCCAGCATAAAAGAAGATTCATTTTATAACATTTTCTTGTAAGCTAAGCTAATTTTATGGTAACATTACAGTAACATGTACTTCATTAAATATTAACTAGGTTCATTTTTCTGAACATTTCTCATAAATATCCCTGTACACTGCCAGAAGAACTTTTCCAGTGGTTTCACCCAAAGCCAGGAAGATGTATTCATGTTGATAAGGAGTGACAAAGTAATGTACGATATGGATGTTCACTGATATCATTTAATAGTAGCATTTAATGAAATACATCTCTTTACCTTAATTGTGACTCTTGCAGGTACATTTTTACTTTTTAAAATTCTTATAGAACACAATTAACTTGATTGGAATACACCAATAAGAGAAACTTTTAAAATGTCATTCCTTTGGCTTAAAAGCTACAAGGCTCGATACAAGGCTGTGAGGCAAGCATGCTGCAAACTGTTAGAAACTGTCAGAAAAGCTGTTTTTTTTTTCTCAATTGTTTTCAAAATTTTAGTGAGGGAAAGAAAGAATGAAAGCATAGACCTTTAAACCAGAATCAATTGGGGCCAGAGGTCTGAGGCACTTTGTCGACATTGCTTAGAAGGCTGCTTCTATAGGAAGCCTTTCTATGGTAAAAAGTGATCAATAAGGTGGAATTGTAGGGAATGAGAGAGTGAGATGCAAGGAATGAAGAGAAGCGGAGTGGTAGGGGGCAAAGAAACCTCCTCCTGAGGTATGCTGTAGACTCAACACCACTTGCTGCATCAGGAGGCCAGATAGAAAGTCAAAGTCTCTTTTTAAATTTGGTTCCAAGGGAAAGAGAAAGCAAGATAGCCTGGAGGCTGAGAGCTACAATGGAGAGTCCCCTAAAAGTACTCTGTGTAATATTCCAGATTGAAGCTTTCTGTTACTAAGGTGCTTGACACTATGCCATACTTTCTTCTAGATGGAGCACCTGCTAAGTGGCTGGCATTGTACTTACTGTGTAGACTTTGGAGTTTGGGGCAGATGCAAGGTGAAGTGGGGATGAAACAAAGTAAATGATGACATGGTGCAGCCCTTGAGGATTGGAGAAGATAGGCAGACAGGAAAAGGTTATCATAAAATATGAAGAGTATTCTAATTACAGATGCTAAAATATCCATAATCACAACAGTTACCAAACCCTCACTATCTTCTAGGCAGCATGATCTCAGTTTTTCCCATCTGTTAACTCATTTAATCCCACTAACAGCATTTTGAAGTAGGTATTAATACCTGCTTATATACTCATTTCACAAACAAGGGAACTGAGACTCAACGAGATTAAGTAACTGGTCTAAGGTAGCTAGTAAGAGACAAAATCCAGAATCCTAACCAAGAAATGTAGCTCCAGATCTCATGGGCTTAATTTCTCCAGGGCTCTTTATTACACAAAACAGTTTTCAGGCACAGGGAAGAATTTAGATCTGATGTGACATTTGGTCACAGCAGGGAAAGAAGAACTGGAGTACACCAGGTAGTGAAGAGGAGGAAAAGAATGACTCGCAAAGGGAATAGTACATGCAGGATCAGGCTAGTTTGAGCCACACAAGTCTGTTTCACACAAGTTGCCAAAGGCAGACTGCAGGGAGAGGAAGTTGTGGGATTATCGAGAGAGGGGCCTGGTTGTCAGGGACCTTCACTCAGAGGAAGCAAAATAAGCAGTGGAGCCATAGTAACAAGTCACAGCCTAAGTAATAGAAACTGGTTATCCTTACAATAGAAACGAAATCCAAGTCGTCAGAGAGGACTTCAGCCTTATGTGTAATGTTTGAGTGTTTATCCTCAAACGATTTAAAGGATTATATATGTATGTAAGAGTGAATACAAATTTAAAAGGGGAAAGGAAAGCTGAGATTTGTTTAAGCAGTGACTGTAAATAGGCTTCATGTAAATCTTATTTTACCATAAATATCACTTTCATGTAATGAGTTGTTAAACTATGCTGCTTCTTTTAAAAGAATATTTTTTAGGCCAGGCACGGTGGCTCACGCCTGTAATCCCAGAACTTTGGGAGGCCAAGGTGGGCGGATCACCTCAGGTCAGGAGTTCAAGACCAGCCTTGCCAGCAAGGTGAAACCCCGTCTCTACTAAAAATACAAAAATTAGCCTGGCACAGTGGCACGTACCTGTAATCCCAGCTACTCGGGAGGCTGAGGCAGGAGAATTGTTTGAACTCGGGAGGCAGAGGTTGTGGTGAGCCGAGATTGTGCCACTGCACTCCAGCCTGGGTGACAGAGTGAGACTCTGTCAAAAAAAAAAAAAAAAGAATATTTTTTAAAAAGTAAGGCAACTGACTAAATATGAACTATATTTCTAAGTATTTTATTTGTTTTCTCAGGGAATAGACTAACATTTGAGCATATATATGCAGCTAAACTCACAACTCCAACTTTTGTTGGAAGACAGACAACTAAGATGAAGGCAAAATATTTAAATGGAAATTATCAGATACTAAAAGATAACTTCAAAAACCTAAAGGGATGGTAGATGCCAGAATGACATAGGATCAGAGCCATGGTTGTTGGCTCCATTGAGCAAAAACTACACACCTTTTCAAGCTAGTTTTCTTCTTCTCACTCCCAAAGTCAATCTTTGGCCAAATATCAAGTAAGCAAAATTGATGGTTGTATTATTCCATTCTCACTTTGCTACAAAGACATACCTAAGAATGGGTAATTTATGAAGAAAAGAAGTTTAGCCGGGAGTGGTGGCTCACGCCTGTGATCCCAGCACTTTGGGAGGCCGAGGTGGGTGGATCACGAGGTCAGGAGATCGAGACCATCCTGGCCAACATGGTGAAACCCCGTCTCTACTAAAAATACAAAAATTAGCTGGGTGTGGTGGTGTGTGCCTGTAAGCCCAGCTAGGCTGAGGCAGGAGAACTGATAGAACCTGGGAGGCGAAGGTTTCAGTGAGCCAAGGTCATGCCCCTGCACTCCAGCCTGGTGACAAAGATAGACTCCATCTCAAAAAAAAAAAAAAGTTTAATTGACTCACAGTTCTGCAGGCTGTACAGGAAGCATGGCTGGAGAGGCCTCGAGAAACTTAAAATCATGGCAGAAGGTGAAGGGGAAGCAGGCATGTCTTACCAAGGCAGGGTAGGAGAGAGAGAGAGCAAAAGGGGAAGTGATATACATTTTCGAACAACCAGATCTTGGGAGAACTCATTCACTATCATGAGAACAGCAAGGGGAATACCCACCTCCATGATTCAGTCACCTCCCACCACGCCTCTCCACCAACACTGGGGATTCAACATGAGATTTGGGTGGGGACACACAGCTAAACTATATCAATATTTTTGCATCACTTCAAACCTTACCTCCATTCTTGCCTTTTTCCTGGTTTCTTCTTCTCCCATCGTCCTCAAGCCGTCTAAGCTTTCAATTAATTCATTCATGTAGTAAAATGGCTTATCTACTATAATCCAGGAAGACGCTTACAATAGGCAAGTAAATAATTCCTATCCTCTTCTGTCAAATAGTTGTAGTCTATTCGGCGGGCTGGGGTGGGGTATGTTTTATTTACTTATTATTTACTTATTTATTTATTTTTGAGACCAGGTCTCACTCTGTCACCCAGGCTAGAGAACAGTGGCATGAATATGACTCGCTGCAGCCTTGACCTCCTGGGTTCAAGTGATCCTTCCACCTCAGCCTCCTGAGTAGCTGGGACCACAGGCATGGACCACCACGCTCAGCTAACTTTTTAAGTTTTTGTAGAGTTGGGGATCCACTGTGTTGCCTAGGCTGGTCTTAAACTCCTGGGCTCAAGTAATCTTCCCACCTCAGCCTCCCAAAGTCCTGGGATTACAGTTATGGGCCACCGTTGTGTCCAGAATTGGTGGGTTCTTGGTCTAACTGACTTCAAGAATGAAGCCGCGGACCCTTGCGGTGAGTGTTACAGTTCTTAAAGGCGGCGTGTCCGGAGTTTGTTCCTTCTGATGTTCGGATGTGTCTGGAGTTTCTTCCTTCTGGTGGGCTCATGGGCTCGCTGGCTTCAGGAGTGAAGCTGCAGACCTTCGCGGTGAGTGTTACAGTTCTTAAGGCTGCGCGTCTGGAGTTGTTCGTTCCTCCCTGTGGGCTCGTGGGCTCGCTGGCTTCGGGAGTGAAGCTGCAGACCTTCCCGGTGAGTGTTACAGCTCTTAAGGCGGCGCGTCTGGAGTTGTTTGTTCCTCCCTGTGGGCTCGTGGGCTCGCTGGCTTCCGGAGTGAAGCTGCAGACCTTCGTGGTGAGTGTTACAGCTCATAAAAGCAGTGTGGACCCAAAGAGTGAGCAGTAGCAAGATTTATTGCAAAGAGCAAAAGAACAAACCCTTCACAGCATGGAAGGGGACCGGAGCGTTGCCACTGCTGGCTCCGGCAGCCTGCTTTTATTCTCTTATCTGGCCCCACCCACATCCTGCTGATTGGTAGAGCCCAGTGGTCTGTTTAGACAGGGCACTGGTTGGTGCATTTACAATCCCTGAGCTAGACACAAAGGTTCTCCAGGTCCCCACCAGATTAGCTAGATACAGAGTGTCTATTGGTGCATTCACAAACCCTGAGCTAGATACAGGGTGCTGATTGGTGTGTTTACAAACCTTGAGCTAGATACAGGGTGCTGATTGGTGTGTTTACAAACCTTGAGCTAGATACAGGGTGCTTATTGGTGTGTTTACAAATCTTGAGCTAGATACAGAGTGCTGATTGGTGTATTTACAATCCCTTAGCTAGACATAAAGGTTCTCCAAGTCCCCACCAGACCCAGGAGCCCAGCTGGCTTCACCCAGTGGATCCGGCACCGGGGCTGCAGGTGGAGCTTCCTGCCAGTCCCGCACCGTGCGCCCGCACTCCTCAGCCTTTGGGTGGTCGATGGGACTGGGCACCGTGGAGCAGGAAGCGGCGCTCATCGGGGAGGCTTGGGTGGCACAGGAGCCCACGGAGGGTGTGGGAGGCTCAGGCATGGCGGGCTGCAGGTCCCGAGCCCTGCCCTGCGGGAAGGCAGCTAAGGCCCGGCGAGAAATCGAGCGCAGCGCCGGTGGGCTGGCACTGCTGGGGGACCCAGTACACTCTCCGCAGCCGCTGGCCCGGGTGCTAAGCCCCTCATTGACCAGGGCGGCAGGGCCGGCCGGCTGCTCCCAGTGCGGGGCCCGCCAAGCCCACGCCCACCCGGAACTCCAGCTGGCCCGCAAGCGCCGCGCGCAGCCCCGGTTCCCGCTCGTGCCTCTCCCTCCACACCTCCCCGCAAGCTGAGGGAGCCGGCTCCGGCCTTGGCCAGCCCAGAAAGGGGCTTCCACAGTGCAGCGGTGGGCTGAAGGGCTCCTCAAGTGCCGCCAAAGTGGGAGCCCAGGCAGAGGAGGCGCCTAGAGCGAGCGAGGGCTGTGAGGACTGCCAGCACGCTGTCACCTCTCCCCGTGGCTGGCCTCTTGGGGGTTATAGATACACAAGAAAATCATCTCATGAGAGAACTTTTCTTTTTTTTGAGACGGAGTCTCGCTCTGTCGCCCAGGCTGGAATGCAGTGGCACGATCTTGGCTGACTGCAAGCTCCACCTCCCGGGTTCACGCCATTCTCCTGCCTCAGCCTCTGGAGTAGCTGGGACTACAGGCACCCACTACCACACCCTGCTAATTTTTTGTATTTTTAGTAGAGACGGGGTTTCACCCTGTTAGTCAGGATGGTCTCGATCTTCTGACCTCGTGATCCTCCCGTCTCGGCCTCCCAAAGTGCTGGGATTACAGGCGTGAGCCACCGTGCCCGGCGAGAGAACTTTTTTAGAAATACAGCTTTAGAAGTAAGTGTGCTAGTGATGTGAAGGCATGCGTGTAGATGAGATAAGAACCCATCTGACCAAAACCTTTCTTGGCAGTAACACATGATTTGGAAACTTACTTTTCCTTTGTTTTGTATCAAAACTATCTGGAACTACATTTCATTCTTAACAGACTCATTTTCTTTTAGGGCTAATTTGATAAGCAAATTGAAATGAAGACTGCTAATGACTTAAATGTGATCCATGTTTTAGCGGAATACTCTAATATCTGCAAAGCCTCATTCCGCTCACGATCTTCATTTGATTTGCAAGAAGAAGCCACTCTGATAATTGATGATGATCAGAGTTACACAGTAGTAATCTTTAAGAGTCTCTTTTTGGGTAACTTTTTGTGCTTACAAAGAGTGGTCTTTATAGAGAAACATGTTCAGACATGCACTGACCTTTCACCCAGGAGGAGCTATCCCAAGTCTTATCTATCCCAATTAGATCCTCTGTTTTGGAATTTGGAATTTGTATCTGGAGAGAGTAGATCAGTGAGCATCAGGCATTTAATTTGTAATGTATGTAAAGTTGGGGATGAAATGACAATGACAGTGTTTAAGTAGAATACAGAAAGCATGATTGGTAAGGAGAGACAGAGAAAGAGAGAGACAGGCTGAAAGAAGTGCCAAAAGATACTGTGGTTTCAGCAAGAGAGGGAATGTGAAAGAAGCTGTCCTGTTTTTTTGACTGTTACGAAATTCTTAATGCTGTTTCCCCATAAGGTCTGGTTGTTCTTATATCTGATGGCGTAAGATAGACCCATCTGCCTCCTGTTTTAGAAGCACTTTACTCATCTTTACCTGGTGGAACAGGATGTTGGATCCAGAGAAAAGAACAGATATGAGTAAACTCTAGTGTTTAGGAAAATGAGCTCATGTTCTGTGCACTCCCTTTCCTGTGCATCCTCTTGCTGTCAATTTTCTGACACTCTGTATCAAGGCAAAGGAAATGACTGTGGGGAAAATGACCAAGTGGCTGGTTTTAGGCTGCCTCTCATCCAGGCCCTTATCTGGAAGGCCAAAGGAAACTTTTGAACTCACATGTTGTCCAGGCCAGTTCACCAGGATTATACCTGATAGAGCTTTGTGGATAAAGCCATGGGTAGAAATAAAGTATATTTGTCTGAATTAGCCACATTCTGCTGCATATGCCCCAAGGCAGTATGGTATGATGTCTATGGTCACTGTGAGACTTAAGATTCTAGCCAACTCTCTTTCCATCAGAGACTATCTTCTCTGTGGATAAACCTGCTTCACATTGCCTTAATAAGATTACATGTGCATGAATTAAAATGTGCATGAATCAAACTCACATCACCCTCCAAGGGAAACTATCCCAATATCTCATACAGTTACTGAAACCAGAACCAAGTCCAGGATCTCTGGATTATGTACTATTCTTATTATCAAGTCCAGAGGTAGCTACCTCAGAGTGTAGTGACGTATCCTAAAAATGACAATTTATCCACTCCCAGTGCATACAGTGTACAATGGTGGGAAAAGATTGGAATAACGAATAAAAATTCCCATTCAGAAAAGAGAATGGTAAACAACACATTGATTTGTGGCATATATCACATTCCCTTGGACAGGAATATTGAGGGCTCAATATCTGACAAATGAAATGAATCAATTTATCAGACAGTATTGGACTTGTAACTTAGGAGGCTTTCCATTTGTCTATTGTCCTTCATGTTCCCTGTTTTCACTCTGTGGGAAAATCTCCTTTGTCCATTGCCCTTCGTAGGAATGTCTGCAATGCTCTTAGGGAATAATTCACATTTGAATACAGGATAGGGGGAAGCGGGGGAAGGCAGACTGTAAAGTACATCCTGTTGCCTTAATAGTCTATATTTGAGGAATGGGGAAATAGAGGTTTCCTCAGGGATTAATAGGTTGGTAATCAGAGTCAAAGATTATCTAGACTGTTAAATCTGAGATTTACTTCTGTCTCTGGGCTCTGTTCACCCTTCAGTCAACCCACAACCTTAGATTTAATGGCCTTTGTTTCCATCTTGGTTTCTTTCTTTGCAAGCATATTGAGACTGTTTTATAAGAAAAGCTCTTCTTAGAATGCTAGAGGGGTTTATTATTGTTGTTGTTATTATTTGTAGATATTAACACCCTCGCTCAGAAATAGGTAGAATAACTAGTCAAAAACTCAGTAAAGGCATAGATGATATGAATCATATTATCTACCACCTTGACTTCACTGATATTTATAGATCACTACAGCCAACAATTGTAGAACGCACCTTATTTTCCTGTTTTTCTCCCCCACAAAACATGAATGTAGAATGTACATTATTTTCAAGGGCAGATATTACATTCAACAAGATAGAACACATTCTGGGCCATAAATTAAGTTTCAATACATTTAAAAGGATTGAAGCCACCTGTGTACATTCTTTGACCACGAGGAAACTAAATTAGACCTCACTAACAATAAGATATCTAGGAAAACATTGCACATTTGGAAATTAGACAATATTCTTCTAAGAGACACATAAATAAAAAATCACAAGAGAAAACAGAAAAAAATCACAAGAGAAAACAGAAAAAATATATTTTGTATGAATGGTTGTTAAAATATCAAATACTGAAAGTTGTGGAATGTAACTAAAGCAGTGTTTACAGAGGAATATGTACATTTCAATACTTATATTAGAAAAGAAGACTGGTCTCAAAGCAATAACTTAAATCAGGGATTAGCAAATTACGGCCTGCATGCTTATTCAGGCTTGTCACTTATGTTGTAAAAAAAAAAAAAAGAAGAAGTTTAATTGGGACATATATGGTCTATGGCTACTTTTGTGCTACATTGGCAGAGTTGAAGATTTGCAACACAGGCCATATGGCCTTCAAAGCATGAAATATTTAATATATATACCTTTAAAGGAAAAGTTTATTGATCCTTAACCTAAAGTTCTACCTTAATAAGTAGATAAAGAAGACCAAAATATATCCAAAGTAAGTAGAAGGAAGGAATTAAAAATAAGAGCATGTCACAACAAAATAGAAATCAGAGAAGGAAAAGAGACAATACCTAAGCTGAAGAGTGATTTAATATCTGAGTAATCAGGTCTGGAAGAGTAATGTTGACAAGACACAGGGGTCTGCTACTCAAGTAAACTTCTTGGAAATCATGTGAGTTGATACCCAGAGAACAATCACTGAGTCTCTTACAGAGAAACTGTTGTCCTTAAAAACTCCAGCAAACAAAAAGGGGGCACAACATCTGGTAGCTTTGTTCAGGTATCCTAGAGACTTCATGCATCTCATGGGGATCCTCATTAATTCACTATGGAAGATAACTTGAAGCCATTTTTGAGTGAGGTCTTTACCAATAACAGGTCCTACAAACTATCCAACAAGCTGCATATATTTCTCTCACTAGACTGATAAAGGGAAAAAATAGCATAATGAAAGAGAAGTTATGGATACAGATCTTACAATTTCCTTAAACTGACACAAGAAGATACAGAAAATCTGAATAGCATTTGTTTTGTTTTGTTTTGTTTTGTTTTTTGAGACGGAGTCTCCCTCTGTAGCCCAGGCTGGAGTGCAGTGGTGTGATCTCCGCTCACTGCAAGCTCCACCTCCCGGGTTCACGCCATTCTCCTGCCTCAGCCTCCCGAGTAGCTGGGACTACAGGTGCCCGCCACTACGCCCGGCTAATTTTTTATATTTTTAGTAGAGACGGGGTTTCACCATGTTAGCCACGATGGTCTCGATCTCCTGTCCTCGTGATCTGCCCGCCTCGGCCTCCCAAAGTGCTGGGATTACAGGCGTGAGCCACTGCGCCTGGCCCTGAATAGCATTTTTCTATCAAAGAAACTGAACTCCCCCCACCCCCAAACTCCAGGTCTAGACAATTTAACTGGTTTATTTTATCAATCTTTAAAAGAAGAAGTAACATTAATCTTATACAAATACTTTTAAAAAATATAGGTAAGGAAATTCCTTAATTCATTTTTAAGAGCCCACCATAACATCAAAACTCATCAAAGGCATTACCAGAATAAAACTACGGGTGAATATTCCTCCTAAATTTTTATGCAAAGAGCTTTAACAAAATATTAGCAAATTTAATCTAGCAATATATAAAAAGAACAACACATTGTGGCTGAGTATATTTTATCCAAGGTTGGCTAAATACTTGAAAATCAATCAATGCAAATCACCATATTATAGCTTTAAAGGTGAAAAGAATGATAATTTCAATGGACTAAGAAGAAGTTATTTGAAGAAAGTCAAATACCACAAGTTCTTACTTATAAGTGGGAGCTAAATAGTGTGTACACATAGACACAGAGAGCAGAATAATAGACATTGGAGACTCGGAAAATGAGAGGGTGGAAGGGGGTGAGGGTGACAAATTGCCTATTGGGTACAATGTACACTATTCAGGTGATGGTTACACTAAAAGCCCAGACTTCACCACTATGCAATAATACATCCATGTAACAAAACTGCACTTGTACCCTATAAATCTATACAAATAATTTTTAAAAAGCATTTGAAAAATTCCAATATCCACTCCTAAAAGAAATAAAACATTTCAGAAAATTACCCTTAATTTGATAAAGAACATATGCAGAAAACCTGGTATCATACTTAATGATGACATTGTGCATATTTTCCCTTGAAGATGGAGAACAAGGCAAGAATGCTCTACCCAGCATCATCCTGGAGATCTCGGCCATTCACAAGGCCTTTGGCAACTAAAAGAAATAAATTTAAAAATCACTAGAAAGGAGAAAGTAAAACTGTCTCTAAAGACATATTACATGATTCTTTATATTAGATAATCCTAACAAATCTACCTCCATGACAAGAACTAATAAATGAATTTAGCCAAGTAGAAGAATACAAGGTCAATAAACAAATGTAAAATTAAATATGAAAAGTTATGCCATTCAAAAATCACATTGACAAAGGACACCTGAGAATCAACTGAAAAAATTATATGCAAGTCCTTTATGCTGAAAGTGATAAAATATTGAATAACAGAAACTACAGATATTAATAAATGTGACTGTATACCTTGTTCATCTTGTTCATGGATCAAAAGTCTCAATATTGGTAAGACAATTCTTCCCCTATCATCTATAGATTCTAAACAGTTCTAAACCCTAATTCTAGAATAAATTTTTATAAAAATTGATTAGCTTATTCTGAATTCTACATAGAAATTCAAAGAACCAAGAACATAAAAACAAATTTTGAAAAAGAAAATACAACTCTACTTGTTATTTACACACAAGGACCATCTTTATGTATAAAGGCCTTTAAATACCTCAGTGGTTAATTTGGTGGGTGCAGAATTTGTGGCTGTGTATGTTTTATTAAAGAATCCAACATTGATTAACTATTTGAAAATCAATCAATGCAAATCACCATATTACAGGTTTAAGGGTGAAAAAACATGATAATTTCAATGGATTAAGAAAAATCATTTGAAGAAATCAAATACCACAACACAAGTTCTAGTTTACAAGAATTTTCTGCCCTCACCAAATCAACTACAGAGGTAATTAAATTTGCACAATATACACAATTATAATGATAATTTATAAGTAATTATAGCTTTTTAGTTACACTTTGCCTTCTCTTTTGTATCTCCCTTTTATCTTGGGAAGCAGACTACATCAGGTTCTCAGCACCTTAGTTATTATGAAGGATATTTATTTATTTTTAATATTTCTTCTCAATGACACATAAGGTAGGAAAGAATGATTGATTGAACATTACAGCAGAGGACTCAAAACACTGAATGTGAGATAGAGATGTATAGAAAGGCATAAGAACACTATCAAAAGCATTTAAAATAAATATTGCCTACTCTAAAATTTTATTAAAGTCTAATCCCTCATATCAGGGGATGGGATATTTTGACCAAAAACAGTAAAACTTCCTAAGAATGCTTTTTCAGATATTACTCTTCCTAGAATCCCACTCATCAGCACTATTCAGAACAGAGTTGGGCTAAAAGCTAGGCTTGTTTATCGTTTAATTTTTACCATATCACCTGAATTTTTTCAAATATCAGGTAAACTGGAAAAATACTTACAGGAAACAAAATTGAAAGCTATCCTACAACTATTTTCTTTTTAGAACTGTGTCCATGAGAAGCAATTAATTTTGTATAATCACATTTTTATCTTTTGACATTTATATAATTGCTTTTAAGTCAGTATTATGTTTTAGAAGATGAAAGTATGTTACCCTACTACCTAAATTTGACAGAGATGAACACATACTGTGAAATGAATCACAAGAAACTAAGTATTTAATTGTACTGGATTTGTAATCTTTTCAACTCTTTGATTTCGGATGGACTGAAATTTCAGTGTTCTAATGTCCCCAGTGTAATCTTGTTTCATTTAATTTTGGTGACATAACTTGGCTCGAATAAATAATGTAGATTATAAGAATATAAGCATTTTGGTGAAGGTGCCTCTAAATTTCAGAAACAGAGATGGCACTCTGTAAGAATTACAGATGCTACATTGTGTTATTAGGTTGCAAGGAAATTAGAGTATTAAAATCATGGCAGAGGATATTTCATAAAATACAATTTTTTTCCATACTAGAAAAAAATATTTTCTTAAGCTTACTCCTAATTTATTTATGTAGGTTTCAATTTTTTATTAATTCTTATAGAAATATATGATCATTTAAAATGTTACCTCTTAACCAGAATTTATATTCCAAAGAGACAAGTTTAATAATCATTTAAAAAATTAATAGAACATGATTTCGATTTATCTCTAGCTTTTATGTGTCTTTTTATCTTATCTAATTAATCCTCTTTTGCTAGACATGTAATTGCCTCTAATGTTTGCTCTTGCAGAAATAAATTATCTGAGTAAAGAGGTGTACATGTTTTACAATGAGATAGATTTTGTCCAGTTGTGCTCCAAAGAAGCTATACTAGTTCATACTCCTGCCCAAAATGTATAAGGATCATTTTCCCTGACATATTTACCAACAATAAGTTCTACCAGACTTTGCCTACTCTATAGGCAAAATATAATATCTTACTCTTATTGTATTAATCATTTATCTTTCTTTAATTCTTTGATGGGCTGGATAATTTTTTTTTTTTTTTTGAGACAGAGCCTCACTCTGTTGTCCAGGCTGGAGGGCAGAGGCACAATCTCAGCTCACTGCAACCTCTGCTTCCCGGGTTCAAGAAATTCTCATACCTCAGACTCCCAAATGGCTGAGATTACAGGTGCATGTTACAATGCCTGGCTAGTTTTTTAATTTTTAGTAGAGACAGGGTTGGCCAGGCTGGTCTCGAACTCCTGGCCTCAACTGATCCACCCACCCCGGCTGGCCGGCTGAGTAATCTTTATATGTTTATGAAACCTATTTGATTTTTTCATTTCAATTGACTGTTCATGTCCATTGGCTTTTTTGGTCTAGTGTGTTTTCTTTTTCTCATTGATTTTTAAGGAGTTCTGTGTAATGTTAGATATAGTTCTTTTATGTTCTTTTTAGAATGGGGCATAATATTTTACACAATTACTGGTAAATAGATAATGCTATTTAAAACTTTTAAAAATTCGTTTAAATAATTTTGTTTAAACAAATTTATCAGAATTGTTAAATAAAATTTGTCTAGCATGAAATTGTGGATAATTTCATAAGAAGGAAATGAACTATATATTCTTTGAATGTCTGTTTTGTGTTAGAAACTCTGCTATGTGCTGTTGTGGGGTGGGGGGAGGGGGGAGGGATATCATTAGGAGATACACCTAATGTTAAATGACGAGTTAATGGGGGCAGCACACCAACATGGCGCATGTATACATATGTAACTAACCTGCATGTTGTGCACACGTACCCTAAAAGTATAATAAAAGAAATAAAATAAATAAATTAAAATTAAAAAAAGAAACTCTGCTATGTGCTATCTTATACATTTTCTGTATAAATATTTTCAGAAATCCAGTGAGGTCGTTATTTTTAATCTCTAGTTTTATAAATGAGAAAACAGAGTCAAATAATTTAGGCAAATTGCTCAAGAAAAACAGCAAGTAAGTAGATGAACTGGTAATTTAACATAGATCTCTCTTATTCTAAAACCCATGTGTTTCAGACTCAACCATGATTTATAACCTCAATTCCGTCTTGCTCATAGAAGACAGTCAAGGAACACTGGTTGAAAAATTAAATGAATATTAGAAGTATTGTCAAGTAGATCAGCTTGACTGAAAAGTGTCCAAATACTGGGTAATGAGAATTACCATTTGCTTGCCACTACTGTCAAGCAAGTGAAGCATACTTGAGATAGAATGGAGTCATGCCACAGCCAATCATCTCCATTCATTCCACGAAGTATTCTGAGAGAAGAGCCAAGAGAACTAACATATACTAGGGAAAAAATTTCACCACTAAAGTTGTCTATTTTTCTCACCTCTATTGAGATAAAACTGATAGATAAAAATTGTATCTATTTATAGTATACAATGAGATGTTTTGATATATGTATACATTGTGAAATGATTATCAAAGTCAATCAAATTGACATATCATCAAGCCAAATATTTACCATTTTCTGTGGTAAGAACATTTAAGATCTACCTTCTTAGTAAACTTCAAGTATACAATACAGTATTATTAGCTATGGTCAGCATTCTGTACATTAGCTCTCCAGAATTTATTCATCCTGCCTAACTGTGACTTTGTTCTCTTTGATCAACATTTCCACCTTTCCCCCACCATGCAGTCCCTAAAAGCCACCATGCTACTGTCTGCTTTTCTAAGCTCAACTTTTTTAGATTCATCCTATAACTCAGATCATAGAGTATGTGTCTTTCTGTGCCTGGCTTACTTCACTTGGCATATCTTCCAGGTTCATCCATATTGTCGCAAATTGCAAGATTTAATTTTTAAGGCTGAATAATATTCCACTGTGTGTGTGTGTGTGTGTGTGTGTGTATGACTCACGCCATATTTTCCTTATTCATGCATCTGTCGATTGATTCCATATACTGCCTACTGTGAATAATGCCATAATAAACATGGTAGTGCAAACTTCTCTTTCAGATACTGATTTTTATATATATAAAATATATCTATAATATATACAAAATATATCTATTATATATAAAATATACCTATAATACATATAAAATATATCTTATATATAAAACACATCTTTACTATACATAAAATGTATCTTATATTTAAAATTCATCTATAATATATATAAAATATATCTTATAAATAAAATGCATCTATAATATATACAAAATATATCATATATAAAATACATCTATAATATATATAAAATATATCATAAAATACATGTATTATATATAATACATAAATATATCTATAATACATAAAAAACATGTATAATATATAAAATATATATCACATATAAAATATATATTGTATATAATATATAGTATATAAATATATATTATATATCATATATATTATATATAATATATAGTATATAAAATATATATTATATGTAATATATAGTATATAAAATGTATATTATATGTAATGTATAGTATATAAAATATATTATATATAATGTATAGTATATAAAATATATCTTATATAATATATAGTATATAAAATATATCTTATATAATATATAGTATATAAAATATATCTTATATAATATATAGTATATAAAATATATCTTATATAATATATAGTACATAAAATATATATTATATAATATATAGTATATCAAATATATATTATATAATATATAGTATATAAAATATATGTTATGTAATATATAGTATATAAAATATATCATATACATATAATATAATACATAAAAATATATATTATACATATATTATATATAAAATATAATATATTACATATTATATAATGTATATTATACATTATATAATATATAATGTATGATATATAATATATAATATGTATCTAATCTATAAAATATATAATATATATTATATAATATGTATTATATGCAAAATATATATTAATATTTTAATTATATTATATATAAATATATATTTTATATATAAATTATTTTATATATTATATATATTATATATTATATATAAAATATATAATATATAATATATACAATATATAATGTATATTATATATTATATAATACATATATAAATATATATGTATTATATATATGTATTATATACACAATATATTATATATAAAATATATAATATATATTATATATGAAATACATAATATATATTATATATAAAATACATAATATATATTACATATAAAATACATTATATATAAAATTTATAATACATATTACATATATATTACATATACAATACATTATATATGAAATATATGATACATATTACATATAATATATATTACACATAAAATGTATATAATATATATTAGATACATTTTATATATAATATGTAAAATATATATTATACATTTTATGTGTAATATATAATATACATTATACATTTTATATATGATATATATTATATATAAAATATATTATATATATGTTATACATAAAATATATGATATATATAATATGTTATATATAAAATATATAATATATATGATATGTTATATATAAAATATACAATATATATAATATATATTAAACATATTATATATATATATAAAATATAAGATATAATATAATTAATATATATAATATATATCATATATATCATATATGATATGATATATATGATATATTATATATAATATATGATATATATTATATCTATTATATATAAAATATATCATATATATTATATATTATATATAAAATATATAATATATATTAAATATATTATATATAAAATATATAATATATATTAAATATATTATATATAAAATATGCAATATATATTAAATATATAATATATAAAATATATAATATATGTAAAAAATGTTATATATAAAATATATGATATATAGAAATATATCATATATCAATATATATTATATAAATATATCATATATAAATATATAATATATAAATATATCATATATCAATATATATTATATAAATATATCATATATAAATATATAATATATAAATATATCATATATAAATATATAATATATAAATATATCATATATAAATATATGATATATAAATATATCATATATAAATATATAATATATAAATATATCATATATAAATATATTATAAACATAAAATATATAAATATATAAAAATATATTATATATATAAAATAAATATATAAAAATATATTATATATATAAAATAAATATATAAAAATACATAATATATATACAAAATATACATATATAATATATATATTATATATAAAACATATATAATATATATATTATATATAAAACATATATAATGTATAATATATAAAATGTATATAATATATAATATATACAAACTATATATAATGTATATAATATATATAAACTGTATATTTATATATACGTAAATATATATAACATATGTAAATATATAAAATATATATGATATATACATATATGATATATAATACGTAAAATATATAAATATATAACATATAATATATAAAATATATAAATATATAATATATAAAATATAAAATATACAATATAATATATAAATATATAATACATAATATATAATATAGAATATATAGAATATATAAATATATAATATGTATAATATGTAATATATAGAATATATAAATATATAATATGTATAATATATAATATATAGAATATATAAATATATAATATGTATAATATATAATATATAAAATATATAAATATATGATCTATGAATATATATTATATACAATACATAAAATATATAATCTACATGAAATATATATATTATATATAATTTTATATTTAGAATATATATAAAATGTATATAAAAATATATAATATATAAAATCTATAATATATAAAACATATAATATATAAAACATATATTATAAAACATGTATTATATAATACATAAAACATTATGTGATACATAAAACATATATTATATGATATATAACACACGTATTACATATATCATATATTAACATATAAGTAAATATAAAATACATAATATATAAATATATATTATATAAAATATATAACATATAAAATACATATTATATATAATATAAATATATGTTATATGTAAAATATATAATATATAATGTATTGTATATAAAATATATCTTATATACAATAAAACATGATATATGTTATATACAAAATATATAATATATTATATCTATTATATAATATATAATATATATATTGGCCGGGCGCGGTGGCTCACGCCTGTAATCCCAGCACTTTGGGAGGCCGAGGCGGGCGGATCACGAGGTCAGGAGATCGAGACCATCCCGGCTAAAACGGTGAAACCCCGTCTCTACTAAAAATACAAAAAACTAGCCGGGCGTAGTGGTGGGCGCCTGTAGTCCCAGCTACTTAGGAGGCTGAGGCAGGAGAATGGCGTGAACCCGGGAGGCGGAGCTTGCAATGAGCCGAGATCCCGCCACTGCACTCCAGCCTGGGCAACAGAGGGAGACTCCGTCTCAAAAAAAAAAAAAAAAAAAAAAATATATATATATATATATATATATATTATATATAAAATATATGATATATAATATATATTATATATTTTATATATAATATATATTATATGTAAAATATATAATATATATTATATATAAAATATATAATATATATTATATATAAAATATATAATATATATTATGTATAAAATATATAATATATATCATATATAAAATATATAATATATTTTATATATTTAATACATAATATATATATTATATATTTAATATATAATATATATTATATATTACATATATAATATATATTATATATTACATATATAATATATATTATATATTTTATATATAATATATATATTATATATAAAATATATAATATATATATTATATATAAAATATATGATATATATATTATATATTAAATATATAATATATATATTATATATTAAATATATAATATATATTATATATAAAATATATAATATATATATTATATATAAAATATGTAATATATATGTTATATATAAAATATATAATATATATATTATATATAAAATATATAATATATAAATATAAACTATGTGTAAAATATATAGTATATAAATATAAAATATATAATATATAAATATAAAATATATAGTAATTACATAATATATAAATATAAAATATATATAAATTATATAATATATAAATATAAAATATATACGAACTATATAATATATAATTATACTATGTATGAACTATATCATATATAAAATGTATAATGTATATGAAATATATAATATATAATGTATATGAAATATATAATATATAATGTATATGAAATATATAATATATAAGTTTATTATGTATATGAAATATATAATATTTAAAAATATATTATATATGAAATATATAATATATAAATATATGATATATATGAAATAGATAATATATAAATATATAATATATATGAAATATATAATATAAATAAATATATAATATATGTGAAATATAATATATAAATATATAATATATAAGTACCTAACATATGAAATGTTTAATATATAAGTATATAATATATGAAATATATAATATATAAATATCTAATATATGAAATATATAATATATAAATATATAATACATGAAATACACAATATATAAATATATAATATATGAAATACATAGTATATAAATATATAATATATAATACATAATATATAAATATATAATGTATATAAAATATATGTAATATATGTAAAATATAAAAATATATATGTAACATATACAACTGTATATAAAAGATATAATATATGTAAAATATATTACATATAAAATATATAATATATATAAAGTAGATATAATATATAATATATATTATATATATTATAATATTATATATATTATCTATTATCTATTATCTATTATCTATTATATATTATATAACATATAATATATATAATTATAATTATATATATTATATAACATATAATATATATAATTATAATTATATATATTATATAATTATAATTATATATAATATATATATTATAATATATAATTATAATTATATATAATATATATTATATTATAATATATAATTATAATTATATGATATATATATTATATATCATATAATTATAATTATACATAATATACATTATATATAATATATAATTATATATGATATATATTATATATTATAATATGTAATTATAATTCTATATAATATATATTATATTATAATATATAATTATAATTATATATTATATATAATATTATAATATATAATTATAATTATATATAATAGATATATTATATACGTATATATAATGTAAAATTATGATTATATATACTAAAATATATATAATATATGTACATATAATGTATAATTATAATTATATATAATATATATAATATACATAAAATATATATTATGTAGTATATAATATATATAAAATATATCTTATATAGTATACAGTATGTAGAAAATATATAACATATATAATATACATAAAATATATTATGTATTATATTTTATATACATAATATATTTTATATATTATATATAATAGATACTGTATATAATATTGTATATATTTTATATATTATATATAATATCTATTATATAAAATATATTTTATATATTATGTATTATATAAAATTTATTTTATATATTATGTATAATATCCATTATATATAATATATTTTATATATTATGTATAATATCCATTATATATAATATATTTTGTATATTATGTATAATATCCATTATATATAATATATTTTATATATTATGTATAATATCCATTATGTATAATATATTTTATATATTATGTATAATGTCCATTATATATAATATATTTTATATATTATGTATAATATGCTTTATATATAATATATTTTATATATTATGTATAATATCCATCATATATAATATATTTTATATATTATGTATAATATCCATCATATATAATATATATCATATATAATATATTTTATATATTATGTAGAATATCCATCATATATAATATATTTTATATATTATGTAGAATATGCATCATATATAATATATTTTATATATTATGTAGAATATCCATCATATATAATATATTTTATATATTATGTAGAATATCCATCATATATAATATATTTTATATATTATGTAGAATATCCATCATATATAATATATTTTATATATTATGTAGAATATCCATCATATATAATATATTTTATATATTATGTAGAATATCCATCATATATAATATATTTTATATATTATGTAGAATATCCATCATACATAATATATTTTATATATTATGTAGAATATCCATCATACATAATATATTTTATATATTATGTAGAATATCCATCATATATATTTTATATATTATGTATAATATCCATTATATATATTTTATATATTATGTATAATATCCATTATATATAATATCTTTTATATATTATATATAATATCTTTTATATATAACATATTTTATATATAATATCTATTATATATAATATATTTTATATATTATATATATCTATTATATATATTATATTTTATATATTATATATAATATCTATTATAGAAAATATATTTTATATATTATATATAATATCTATTATAGAAAATATATTTTATATATTATATATAATATATACATTATAGAAAATACATTTTATATATTATATATAATATATACATTATAGAAAATATATTTTATATATTATATATAATATATACATTATAGAAAATACATTTTATATATAAAATATATAATATATATTATATAAAATACATTTTATATACAAAATATATAATATATATTATATAAAATACATTTTATATATAAAATATATAATATATATTATATAAAATACATTTTATATATAAAATATATAATATATATTATATAAAATACATTTTATATATAAAATATATAATATATATTATATAAAATACATTTTATATATAAAATATATAATATATATTATATAAAATACATTTTATATATAAAATATATAATATATATATAAAATACATTTTATATATAACATATGTAATATATATTATTTAAAATACATTTTATATATAAAATATATAACATATAAAATGTATAATATATATTATATAAAATATATAATATATGAAATATATAATATGTATTATATAAAATATGTTGTACATATGAAATATATAATATATAATATGAAATATATTATGTATATAAGGTATATAATATATGTTTTATAAAATATTTTATATAACATATATAATATAGAAAATATATATAATATATAATATATATCATATATAATATATATAATATATATCATATATAATATATAAAATATGTATTATATATAATATATAAAATATATATTATATATAATATATAACATAATGTGTAAAATATATTTTGTATATAAAATATATAATATATAATGTATAAAATATATTTTATGTATAAAATGTATAATATATACTACATAAAATATATAAGATGTATTATATATTATATATAAAATATATATAATATATATTATATATAAAGTAGATATATAATATATACTATATATAAAATATAGTATATATTATATATAAAATATATATAGTATATTTAAAATATATATCATATATTTAACATATATTATATATTATGTATAATATATAATATATAAAATATATATTATAATTTATATATAAATTATATTTTATGTATCATAGAATTATATAATATATAAATATATATTATAATTTATATAATTTTATAATATTTATATATTTATTTATGTTTAATATTCTATTTTTATTTATAGTTAATATTTATTTATATTTATATATTGATTGTATATTTATATATTTATATATTGTAAAATATATATTATATATATTTTATATATTATATAATATATAAAATATATATTATATATACTATATATATAGTATATATATTCAGAAGTACAGTTGCTGGTTCATATGGTAGTTCTATTTTTATTTTTTAAAAGAACCTCCATACTGTTTTCTATAGTGGATGTACCAATTTACCACCCCCACCAGTGTATAAGGATTTCCCCTCTCTATATCCTCACCAACATTTCCTATCTCTTGTCTTTTTGATAATAGACATTCTAACAGATGTGAAGTAATAGCCCATTGTAGTTCTGCTTTGCATTTCCCTGATGATTGGCAATGTTAAGCATTTTTTTGTATAACTATTGGCCATTTATATGTTTTCTTTTGAGAAATGTCTATTCATACCTCTTGCTCATTTTAAAATCAGGTTATTGGGATTTTGTTTTTGTTGAGTTGTTTGAATTCCTTGTATATTTCAGATATTAACTCCTTATTGGATGTACGGTTTGCAAATATTTTCTCCCAATCCATAGGTTGTCTCCTCACTCTGCTAATTGTTTCTTTTGTGCAGAAGCTTTTTAGCTCGACACAATAGCATTTCTCTATTTTTGCTTTTGTTGCTTGTGATTTTGAGGTCACATCCAAAAAATCAGGGCCTAGACCAATGCCAAGAATCTTTTTCACTATGTTTTCTTCTAGTAATTTTGTAGTTTTGGGCCTTACATTTAAGTCTTTAATCCATTTTGAATTCATTTTTGTATATGTTGCAAGGGTCTAATTTCATTCCTCTGAAAGTGGATCCCTAGTTGTCCTAACACCCTTTATTGAAGAGACTATCCTTTCCACATTGCGTGTTCCTGACCCCTTTGTCAAAGATCAATTGACTTTAAATGTGTGGATTTATTTCTGGGCTCTCTATTCTGTTTCAGTGATGTATATATTTGTTTTTAATGCCATTATCATACTGTTTTGATTAATATAGCTTTGTAATATATTTTGAATCAGGAAGTATGATGCCTCCAGCTTCGTTCTGTTTGTTCAGATTTGTTTTGGCTATTTGGATTCTTGGCTATTTGGATCTTTTGCAGTTCCATATACATTTTAGGATTATTTTTTCTATTGCTGTGAAAAATGCCATTGGAATTTTTATAGGAATTGCATTGAATCTGTGGAAAGCTTTGGGTAGTATAGATATTTTAATAATATGAATTCTTCCAATCCATCAACACAGGTTATCTTTCCATTTATTTGTGTCTGCTTCTATTTATTTCATCAAAATTGAATAGTTTTCAATGCATAGACCTTTTACCTTTTGAATTAAACTTATTTCTAAGTATTTTACTTTTCTGATGTTATGGTAAATAGAATTATTTTCTTAACTGTTTTTGGATACTTCATTGTTTGGATGTAGAAATGCAGCAGATTTTGTATGTTGACTTTATATCCTGAAACTTTGCTGACTTAGTTCTACCAATTTTTTTTTGGTTGAGTCTTTATGGTTTTCTGTATATAACACCATGTCATCTGCAAGCAGAGACAATTTCACATCTTCCTTTCTGATTTGGATGTCTTTTATTTCTTTTTCTTGCCTAATTGCTCTGGTTAGAACTTCTAGTACCATGTTAATAGGAGTGTTGAGAGTAGGTTTCTTTGAATCATTCCTGATATTACAGGAAAAACTTTCATGTTTTCACCATTGAGAAAGGTGTTGGCTGTGTGCTTGTTATATAGGGCCTTTGTTATATTGAAGTACATTTCTTCTCTACCTAATTAATTGAGAGTATTTTCATGAACAGATATTGAATTTTATCAAATGCCTTTTCTGCCTCTATTGAGTTAATCATATGATTTGTATCTTTCCTCCTGTTAATGTATCCACTAGGTTGGGCCTGTTTATACAGTTTATGGTGACAGGTGTGGAGCCTGGGTTCATGGAGGGGCGCCTGCAGCCTTTTTCCATGGGGTTTGGCCTATAATCTAGACCCGTGGAAGCCATCTCCCACTGGGGTAGGCCTGTAAGCTGGGTCCATAGGTGCTGCCCTGGACCCTGGAGCTGTAGTGGCCAGCCTGGAGCCTAAGGCCAAGAGGACCAACTTAGCACTGAGGTGGGCCTGGAGCCTGGCACCACAGGGGTGAGCCTGGAGCTGGAGTATGCAGGCGTTGGCCTACTCCTGAGGCAGGCCTGGAACCTGGGTCTCCTGGGGTAAGCTTGGATCCTGGAGCTTGGAGACCATCCTGGGCTAGGTCAGGCCTAGAACCTTGAGCCACAGGAGCCAGCCTGGAGCCTGGGGCTATGGGGACTGGCTTGTTACTGGGTATTATTGGGACAGGCCGAGTGCTGAGGTTTGCAGTAACATTGGATGCTTACTTCACTCTCCTTTCCCCATGGGTAGATGATATGGTTTGGCTGTGTCCCCACCCGAATCTCATCTTGAATTGTAGCTCCCATAATTCCCATGTATTGTGGGAGAAACTGGGTGGGAGATAATTGAATCATGAGGGCGGTTTCCCCCATACTGTTCTCGTGGTAGTTAATAAGTGTCACAAGATCTGATGGTTTTATAAGGGGAAGCCCCTTTTACTTGGTTCTTATTCTCTCTTTGCCTGCTGCCAAACATGTGAGACTTGACTTTGCTCCTCCTTGCCTTTCACCATGATTGTGAAGCCTCCCCAGCCATGTGGAACTGTGAGTCCATTAAACCTCTTTTTCTTTATAAATTACCCAACCTCAGGTATGTCTTTATCAGCCACATGAAAACAGACTAATACAGGAGAGTATCTCTCTCCACGCTGTGCTGCCTAGACTTGGGGGAGAGGTGATGTGGGTAATCTGAAACTGTTCTTCTTACCCTTTTCAGTGCATTTTTTTTCCTATTTATGTGTTTCCTCTAGGTGTTGTAATCTCTCATCTGGATTCCTTAGCGCCTATGAAGGTGTTTTCATGTGTGGACAATTGTTCAAATTGAATCCTATTCCACCATCTTGCTGATGTCACTTCTGAGGTTGTCTATTCATAAAAACCACACCAATAATGTGTTTACAACATTTTAGGGAACATCTGGTTAAGTTGCAAAACCTAAAATTGTGTGTTTAGTAGCCTCACTACACTATCTTCTGAGTAGGTAGTTGAGCATCAATGACTAAGACTGTATTTATATCAATGCTGGTGACAAGTCTATCTGCCAATTTTGCCATACAGAGGCAAAGTTATGATATGTACTCCATACAGGAAAAAAGGGGGGGGTAATGTTTTCATGCTAAATTACTGTCATGTTAGCAGGCCATTGTACTCATATCCTTATAATGAAATAGGTTCATCCTCCCTTTTGTGTTCCTGCTATAGTTTATTCCAGACTCATGCAAATAGTATAAATATAAGGTCCCTATATAGTATACATATAAGGTAATACCTCTCTTGTTCTTCCAAATGAAAAGCCACTGAAGAATGTAGTATGAGTATGGGGACTACGTGCTATTTATTACTGTCTTCTGCCTTTGTTATAGATGCTGTTTAGCTTTCCTTCAAATGAATAATATTTCTTACATATCAACTCTATTTTCACAGTTTGGTCATGCACTTTCTAGTATTTCAGAGAGAAGCACGCTGAAGAGATCATGAAATCCAAGGTGGTATTTTCTTCTCATGATGAAAGATTATATATGTAGCCAATGACACAACACAGGAATAATTAAGAAAACATAGCCTATCAATGAGAGTTATCACAGAGAGGTGGCATTTTTCCAAGGTAATAGCACTCATGCCATTTATTCAGATAACCCATCTGGATCCATCCTTTCTTAGTAGTTAGTGCCCTGTAAAACTGGCATATTTTATTATGAATGGACACAATGCCATACAAACACATGGACAAAACTGTAGATAAGCCAGAGATGCGTAATTGGTACTTTGTTCAATAAGGCTGGATTTCTGCCAGAATTTCCAATACAATTGTCTTCTACTAGTTTATGTTTCCAAATCAAAGGAATCGTAGTTTTATAGCTTCAGAATTCAAGTTTAAACTCTGAGGCTCCTAAAGTTAGTAGACAGAGAGAGAGAGAGAGAGAGAGAGAGAGAGAGAGAGATCATATAAATACATTTCTATGTGAGTGTCAATTTAAATCAGATAATGAAAAGAATGAAAAAGTCAAGTTCACATGGAAAAAAGATCTTTGCTTTACACGGTGAACATTTTTTCTTCAACTTTACTATATAGTTAAAGCCTTATCCATTCATATGCTTCTTTGAAACCTCAATTTAAGTGTAACATTTAGGTAAAATTCTTCCACTCACTCAGTCCCAAGCTGCAAAGGAAAATAGGCTTTAAGAAAACTGTTCAGCTTGCAAATTAATTATATGCAATAAAAGGGTCACAAAACTTGTAGTAGACACCTGCAAAAATGAGAAACTCAAGATTATGGTTTCCTGCTTTCCAATCTCTTCTAAAATAATACCACACACACATAAAAAAAATTGGTGAAGAATACATATAAAACTCATTTTCTGATGTTGTTAAAACACTTGTTTCCTATCCCCACTGACCACATATTTTGATTCATTGCTACAGGTGGGGGTAATTATATTATGTTTCAGGAAATTTCATTGTTCACACACTTGAATTATTTTAATGCACTTTGAAGAAAGTGCATTAAATCTTATTGTCAAATAAGATTGTCAAAGTGCATTAATCTTATTGTCAAATAAGATTGATTTCAATCATTTAAAAAATGTTTATTTGGGGTTTCTTACTGGCCCTTCAGTAGCAAATCCAATAATAATATTTTTACCTTTTTAGAAAGAATTTCCCATGTTTTCTGTGTGCCCTTGCCAAAAGTCCCAAGGAGACTGAGGGTAGTAAAATAATTTTTATCTTTGAACTGCACACACACAAAAACTCAATTTAATTAATTTCTCCTTTAGAGAAGTTTCAATTTGTCTTTTCTGGTCTGTGTGACTTCAAATAAATGGTTTATGCCACACTGTTTACTTTTCAATTTATTATTTTGTTATGGCTTTAAATTAGGATTAATAGGGAAGAAGATTCACAGATATCATTTATATGGTTTATATAAAGATATGAGGGTCAGAATCTGATCTTAGGCTCTCCAGAACCATTCAACCTGAGGAATAGATTGTGAAATTCTTGATTGACAGTCTATTTGCATACAGCATAAACAAAAGAAATGAAACAGCAAAATGATGGTTAGGCATATATTCATAATATTTTAGACCACACATTTAAAAAAAAATGTTAAATTCTATATTTTGCTTTTCACCATCATACAGAAAATTTAAGTTATAAATTATAAATTAACTCATCAATCACAATAGAGCAATAATATAATTAATCCAAGCATTGCATTGGCAAATAATGATTTAATAATATATTTTGATTAATAACTTTAGTCTATATTTGTCTTCCTGACTTTTCTATATCAACTCAGAGGGTTTTTAAATTTATTTTTATTTTATTTAATCAATTAATTTATTTTTTTTGAGACAGAGTCTCACTCTGTCTCCCAGGCTGGAGTGCAATGGTGTAATCTTGGCTCATTTCAACCTCCGCCTCCCAGGTTCAAGTGGTTCATCTGCTTCAGCTTCCCGAGTAGCTGAGATTACAGGCACGCACCATCACATCCAGCTATTTTTTGTATTTTTAGTAGAGACAGGGTTTCATCACGTTGGCCAGGCTGGTCTTGAACTCTTGACCTCAAGTGATCCACCTGCCTCGGCCTCAAAAAGTACTGGGATTACAGGTGTGAGCCACCACCCCCAGCCGGGTTTTTATTTATTTTTATTATTAAAGTCAACATATATCACTTAGAGTTCAAATTTTATCTGGGAAATGTCTTTGATAAATCAAGCATTCACAAAGCATAATGAAATTACTATACTTCTGAAACTACACGATTTAAGCGTTTGGAAATAAGAGAACTGAAGGAAAAGAGTCAAGTTCTTTTTTCTTATTTATGTAGGTACTTTATTACAGAATTCTGAGGCTAAGAAGCACTTTAGGCTTGTTTGTTTACTTTTTAATTATTTTCTTCTGAGGCTGCACCTTTAATATGCCATTTTCACCAGATGTTGCAAGCTCATTTGGTATCTAGTGAATTTCCTACTGGAGATCTCAAACAACTTGATGCCATGCCATATATTTTGTGCTGTAGTTCCACGAAATAAATATGGTTTAGATATAGTGTTAGGGCCTTTGGGTGGCATATTGGAATTGCCCTCTTGAGATGCATGAGACATACAATAGGAATGTTCATTATACTTGTTCTTCAGCCTATAGGCACTTCCAATATTGTTAGTCCCTTACTTTATCCCTTTTGCCATTAACTTATTTCCGATCCAAGTTAGTTTCCATAGACTATCACTTTATTATCTTTACAATATTTTCAAGTTCCTTTCTTCTTTATCCTTTCACTGTATTCACCTGGCAAGAAGCCAATTTTGTCAGGACTACCAAATATACTTATGCGGGTTGTTCAGAGGTTGTGTGGTTCAGACCACTAAAGGCCCTAACACAGTCCCTAAACCATATTGATTTTGTGGAACCACAGCACAAAATATATGGTATAGTATCAAGTTGTTTGAGGTCTCCAGTAGGAAATTCACTAGATACTAAGTAAGCTTACAACATCTGATGAAAATGCCATTTTAAAGGTGTAGCCTCCGAAGAAAATAATTGAAAAGGAAACAAACAAGCTTAAAACATAAGTGTTACTCTCTAGGGTAGTTTAATGGACAACTTGCATAATTATTTGATGTAGCTGTACCCGGGTCTAACTTTGTATTCTCTGTACTATCTTCTGATTACTGAACATGAGACAAAACTCACACCATCATACCAACTGCCACCAATACAGATCCAACCTAAAGAGAGCCACAGTAACAATAAATAATCTTTTTACCTTCATCAACTATGTCTCCCATTCTCCACAGTGGCTATTCTCCATTCTGCTCAAATTTCTGCTTTGCCATCTATTTCCCTCCCTTTGATCAGATGAATGTGAATTCTTCTTCATTAAGAAAATATGAGAAAGGTATTGCGTTACGGTATTGCCATCAGTTCTGGAATATTATCTGTATATTCTTCCCCTCCTCACTTTTTAGAATCAAAGCAATATCCGGCATCCTTTGTAACAATAGTAACAATAATCCTTCCACCTATAATCTGCCTCCTATTTCCCCCCTCATTTCAGCAACCTATCTTTATTATCCTCCCTCCTTGATCTTCAGTCTCTTCTATATTGACACCTTCTCATCACCACTTATATCTTCTTAAACCTCTTTCCATGTAAAAAACAACAGCAAAAAAAAAAAAAATCAATTAAACAAACAAACAAAAACCCTCCACATTTTCCACGTATCTCATACTTGTAACAACCAAACCTCATGAATGGGTTATCTGGTCTTATGATCTTCATTATTTTACCTGTTCCTTATTCCTAATCCCGCTACCCTCTGGCTCCAGCCACTTCTATGAAATTGCTTGTGTAAAGGTCACCTAGAAATTTTTCGTTGTGTACCTAATGAATACTTCTCTGTATTTACCTTATTTGATTTCTCCATTTCATCTGTCAATGCTGATCGTTCCCTTCTTCTTACATTGCCTTCTTTAGATTCTGTGACATCACTTTCTCCTAGTTTTTCTTCTCTAGCTGCTTAGTCACTTTCCTTCAGAGGCTCCTTATTTCCTCTCTGCCTCTTAAATAGTATTGTTTTCAAAAAAATTTTCTAAGCCCTCTTTTGATTCTGCACATTCTCTCTGAGCTATATCATCCATTTCTATACCTTCAATATACTGATGATGCCTACATCTATAACTGCAGCCTACATATCTGTCCTTAGTTATAGAGGCAAAAATGCACATCTCTCAAATGGACATGTTCACTTCAGTGGTCCACAGATGCGTAACACTTAACATGACTCATATTAAACTCCTTCAACTCAAGCTTCCCATTAGGATCCTCCTTCATTGTAACAAAAGGAACAGGATCTTAAGCCACCCAGTAACCCCCATGAGAAACCTGGCTTCTTTGTCTTCCTCACCCTTCCTCCATAATAGTTCACCAAGCAAGCAGCCATTCGTCCTGTTTAATATCTATATAATCAGACTCTTACTTTCTTCCATTGCTGCCACTGCCGTAGTTTACTTGTTTCAGCCTGAATTATGCCAACAGTCTTTTCCTCTACATCCACTGTTGCCCCCAACTTTCTCCCCGGTCAGCGAAGGTCGGCATTTTTTTTTTTTAATTGAGACAGGATCTCACTCTGTCACTCAGACTGGAGTGCAATCTCGGCTCCCTGCAACCTCCTCCTCCTGGGCTCAAATGTTGCTCCTGCCTCAGCCTCCCGGGTAGCTGGGACCACAGGCGTGTGCCACCACACCCAGCTAATTTTTAAAACATTTTTTTGGTAGAGACAGGGTTTTGCTATATTGCCCAGGTTGGTCTCAAACTCCTGGGGTCAAGCAATGCACCCGCCTAGGCCTCCCAAAATGCTGGGATTACAGGCGTGAGCCACTGCACTCGGCCCAAGGTCAGCATTTTAAAATAGCATTTTAATAAGGCTCCTTATTCCTCAGTTCCTTAACCTTGCTGCGCTATCTCTCATATCCAGGCCTTTGCTGTTCCCTCTACCTGGGACACTATTAACCACCACCGTTCCTTCCTGATATCCTAGCTAATGCCTTGTCATTCTTCATGGCTCACATTTTCTGGGAAGTCTTTCCTGAATTTCAAAGTATGCTTCAGAGGTTTCTCTTAGCGCTCATGTCATTTATAGCACTTAACACCACAATTTTTAATTATCTATCCAACTGTAAAATTTTCTGTTTACTTCTCTCAGATTTCACACAGTTTCTGGTCTGTGCCTACCTCTCCAGTCTCTTGGCCCACCATTCTCAGCACAGTGCTCTATGTCCTAGCCACTCAGACCTTCTTTCATTTCCTGGATCATTAGACTCCCAGCCACGCCTGAGTATTTGCCCATGATATTCTTATGGCTCGAATACCCCCACTCCCAATTTTCCTAGTTTACTCCTTCTTTTCCTTCATTTGTGGAGACAAACTTCACTTCCACAGGGAAGCCCTCTCTATCTAATCCACCAGATTGTCACTGACCACCCTGTTTTGCCTTCATAGCATTTATCAGAGTTTAAAGTTATATGTGTCTATGAATTATTTGACTAATGTCTATATACTCCACAAAACAAAGTTCTAAGAGATCTCTAGTCCCCATCATGTAAATTGATTAATGAGAAATTAAATACAAGCTGTGTCTGCAGAAATCTTCTGTTTAATGAGTAAATATTTTCAAATAAGGGTGACACGCTAACCTCCAATCAAGCATAAATACCTTTCTACAGATTAACACACAACCTTTGAAAAATGTACATGCTTCTAAGGGAATAAATGCACAAAACATTTTTTTTTTTTGAGATGGAGTCTCACTCTATTACCCAGGCTGTAGTGCAGTGGCATGATCTCGGCTCACTGCAGCCTCTGCCTCCCAGGTTCAAGTGATTCTCCCGCCTCAGCTTCCCAAGTAGCTGGGATTACAGGCGCTCGCCACCACACCTGGCTAATTTTTGTATTTTTAGTAGAGATGGGGTTTGGCCATGTTGGCCAGGCTGGTCTCGATCTCCTGACCTCAGGTGATCCACCTAACTCAGCCTCCCAAAGTGCTGGGATTACAGGCATGAGCCACCGTGCCTGGCTCATAGGACAAAAACATTTTCATAAAAGTAAGAAAGGGGACAAGAGCGTCCAGGTCATATATGTAGTAATTAAAGAGGCCCCCACTAAGTAGAGCATCAAAGTGTATTTTCTCATTTGTAAGATGAGAAACATACTAGTACCTATCTCAAAGGGTAGCTGTGGAGATTAATGAGTACTTCGCATAATGCATGTAACTAAATAAGCAATCAGTAAGTGTTATGCACTCAATTTTCTTCACCAAATATTAATTGGAGTGAGTTGGCAACATAATGGAATCAGACACTCAAGATAAGTAAAAAGGAAACTCCAAAGTATGGTAAGAGGATGCTGGATAAAAACTCCAGCATCTGAATTTAGGGCTCACTTTGAATAATAAAGCAAATCCTGGGACCTTAAGTCATTTCCTCAAAATGCTACTGTTCTTCCAGACTTCATTATCTTCAGATATGGCTCATTCAAGAAAAGTCAGGATAAATACTTGACATTTCTCTTTACTCCTCCATTTTCAGGATGGTACACATGGGAACAACTCAGACCAAGGGTCAGACTTTTTAAAACTAGGCTTTGAAGACCTTAAAGAATTTCATGATCTGACTCAATAGGGCTTCGTTTTGGTCATACTTCTTGTGTTTTTAAGTAACCTCTAGCAGTGGGAAATTGTCTTAATGAATGTCTGACACCATATGGTTGTATATGTGTGTATATATTAGATTACATATACAGATATTATTGTATTATGCCTTGCTTTTCACTTATTGTAATTTGGAGAGCTTTCTATATGAGCACGTAGAATTCTGCTTCATTCTTTTTAATAGATACATATTATTCCATTGTAATGAGGAATTTTAACTTAAATTAGTATAACCTTATCACTGTCAATGGATCATTAACAGTGTTTTGCTATTTCAAACAATGTTGCAGTGAACATACTGGTAACCATATCTTGCCATACTTTTGTGAGTATAATCAAACAGTAGATTCTAAGCAATAGGTTTGCTGGGTCAAAGGTATACATACATATATCTTTAAATTTTCAAGTGCATTTAGTAGCTGCTTGTTGAATGAATGTCCAGTGACATTCATTCAAGCAGAGAGCAGTTCTTACTAAAAAATCGAACCTGCTGGTGCTTGGATATAGAGTGATTATGGAACACATGTATCAAAATATTTTGAGGTGGAGGTGGGAGGCCTTCTGCATTTGGCTCATTTTAGGGTAAGTTTTCTTTTTCAATTTGTAAATTTATATAAATGGTATGTATAACTGGCTACACAAAAATAGTTCAAACGCAATACTGCTTGTTAATCTGCTACTATTGAAAATGTTTCACTACCTCTAACTTCACCCACTTTTTAATATTTTCTTTACCCTTCCCAAGGCCGGCATGACTGAAGGAAAAAGAAAATTCTGTGTAAATTTGAATATCAGCTCAGTTCTTAACAATTTTCACAGCTTATTTTTGAAAGAATGCTTCACCACCCCCACACACTTCATCTCTATATTTACTGACTCTCCCAAAATCTGAGCATCTTCATTGAATGTCTTAAGAGAGAATTTCTTGTACAATTTGCATGGTCTACATTCTCAAAATTGTATGTCATTTGACTAGGTTGAAATAATTTGAAAAAAAGTTAGAAAGCAGATAGAAAGTTACCAATCCTATTTATTCAAAGAAACAGTAAATCTGGGCAACTGTGTTTTCATAGCACATTCTATTTGACTGGAAGTTAACTCAAACAGACTGCCAGGAGAGAGAAAGAAAGGAACATTACAAGATGGTAACTAAAAGATCTGAGTCTCATATTAAAACAATCTACTAATAAACACCCAGTCTCTATAGCAAAGCAAATGAGGTCACTTTCTGCTATGGTTTGAATGTGTAGCCTCCAAAATTCAGGTGTTGCCAATGTGATGGCATTAAGAGATAAGGCCTTGAAGAGGTGATTAGGCCGGAGGGCTCCTCTCTGTCTTTAATGGGATTAAGGCTCTTATAAAAGTGACTTCACACGACGTTCAGCCTCCTTGACCTTCAACCTTCTGCCATGTGAGAAAACAGCATTTCTTCCCCTCTAGAAGATGAAGCAGTAAGGAGCCATCTTAGAAGCAGAGAACAGTTCTTACCAAACAACTGAACCTGCTGGTGCTTTGGTCTAGAAATTCCCAGCCTCCAGAACTGTGGGAAATAAGTTTCTGTTCTTTGTAAATTACCCAGTCTCAGCTATTCTAACAGTACAAACAAAGACATCTTCCCTTTTTCCATGCATAACATCATGGTGCCCTTGATGATTTGTTTTAAATTTCAAGGCTAACCTTAATTTTCCTTTGAGTCTGATTTCACTGAGAACAGTGAGTTTTTGGGGCATAGGAATAAGGAGGTAACATTTGTTGGGAAAAAGCTCTGTGATATCCTCCGAGTTCTATCTCCGTTTGGCACAGGCTCTTCTCCTAACTGCACATAGGTACATCCTGTATAGCAATCCTACCCATCCTTATTGAGTATTATTGACAGTTTGTGCTTTCCACCACTATGGGTTTCTTGAGAAAAACAGGCTCTAAGTGTCCTCTTCCCCCAACTAGAGAGAGGGTGTAAGTCTGCAATTTTTCACTTTAGCCACTAGATGGCAAATGTGCAACAGTAAGCCATAATGCTGCTGGGTTTTCAAAATCCCCCAAGGGAATTCTAATAGGTTTAGGATTAAGGCAGTGAAAAGTGAAATATTGGTGTTTTAAAACACAAGGCAATGACTGTTTCAGTGAAATAAGGGGTAAATTGAACACAGCCCAATGCAAACATAATGAAGACATCTCCTTGGCAATTTGTTAACACATTCTTATTGACAAGCATCCAGATTGCCTCATTGCTTGACAAAACTGCCTCAATTTCAGAGTATAATTAGTGGTTCAGAACAAAAGCCATACACTGCAAGTGGGTAATGGAGTTCCTCTGGGTTATGTTTCCAGGTTCATGTTATGAGCTACTTGTGCGGACCAAAATGGTCTCATCAGGCTAGATATCCCTAGATATCTAGATTTGTTCTAATTCTTAAAGATTGCTTAAGAATGTCTAATTTGTTTATATATCTTCATTTCATTTGACCCAGTAATTCCACACCTGGGAGACTATTCTGAGAAAAAAAATGCCAATTACAGAAAAGATATTTACAATCTGATCTTTAAAGTGTTATTATATCTAAACATCAGAAACAACTGAATTGTCTAATACTAGGGGAAAGGTTAAGAAAAATGTTGTTGTTTCCATGTAATGGAATTTAATGCCTCTATTTAAAATAATGTCCGTTAAATTTTGTAGTAATACGGAACATCTTTATAGTGTAAAAGATTAGAAAACAAGATTTAAACTGTCTACATGGTATATTAAAAATAATATACTTAGAAGAATGACTAGAGGAAAACATACTAAAACATTATGAGTCATCTCTGAGGGTTGAGCCTGTGAATTATTTTTCCTTCTTCCTATTTGTCCTTGTTTCCCAAATGGTCTATAATTTTTCTAAATGTTCTATCATGAGCATGTATTATTTTTAGCCTGAAAAATAATGCAAATATGCAAAAAGGGGAAATGTATTTGAAAGGCAGTTCAGCAAGTTGAAGACAGAAGCAAAATATGACAGAAGTTGCATATTTTAATTTTTCTCTAATGATCTATTTTTAGGGGTGATAATTTGGGAAAGAAGGGACATAAAGTAGTGGCATCTTGAGGTAACTAACTTCCACCTGTTCAAGCAAAGTTGACTTCTTCCTCTTTGCAAGAGAAGTAGTCGTTCTCTCCAGATATATGTGAGTTTATTGCTAGATAAATCATTTCTTCCATTTTTTTTAAGAGACAGTCTTGCTCTGTAGCCCAGGTTGGAGAGCAGTGGCACAATTATGGCTGCAGCCTCGACCTCCCACGCTCAAGCAATCCTCCTACCTCAGCCTCCTTGAGTAGCTTGGACCACAGGCACACACCACCATGCCAGGCTAATTTTTTTGTTTTTTTTTAAAGAGATAGAGTCTCCTTATGTTCCCCAGTCTGTTCTTGAACTCCTGGCCTCAAGTGATCCTTCCACCTCAGCCTCCCGAAGTGCTGGATTACGGGTATGAGGTGCCATGCCCAGCCTATTTCTAGATAAATCTAAATTGGTATGGAAGAAGAGGTAGAGTGTCACCGCCCTTTAAATTATTGTTCAAAACCTGTACTTTCATTGCAGATGAGTGAACAATTACATTTCCCTTATTATGTCTTCTTCTTGTAATCTCCTTTCATTTATTAATTCATTTAAAATAATTATCAAGCACCTACAGCCAGTCAGACATTGTGCTAGGTACTGAGACACAGTAGTGAATGAAATAATTCTTGAGGGACAATGATAATAAACAAATAACCAAACACATCTGTAATTTGGAAGAAAAGAAAGTTATTTTTGTATGTTTTTTAAAAATTCACATTAAATGTGTCCTAGCTAAGAAAAAAATAACTGTTTTATGCAATTTCAGAATTCTAAGCAACCACACAACTTAATTCCCTATTCATATTGATTAAATAGAGTTTATGATGTTTGATATTTAAGGGAGTTTATTCAATATAGTCAACTTAGTATAAACAATTTGCTGTTATGATTTTTAAATAGGCATTTTCCTGGAATTATCTTTAGGATTCTCTTAAGAATTTATTTAATGATACACAGCTTTCTTGAATAAACAATACCCCAAAGTAGCTTGTTTAATAAACTACAGGTCTACAATTTGTTATCCATGATTCCCATATCCAAAAATACTCTGGAAACTGAGTTTTATTTATTAAGCATTTGGTGGCAAAAGCAGGCGTTACCTAAATTAATCTGACCACAAAACCTGATCTGGGTTGATGTGAGGGTGCTTATAGTTTTATTTATCCCATTTAGTATATTCATACATTTTGCTCCAGAAATATTTCTTTGATTATGTGGTACTATCCCAGAGCTGATGGATGATATTACATAATATACAGCATATACACCCATTACCTTTCTAAAATTCACAAAAGCCTAAACTCTGGAAACACCTGTCCCCAAGAGTTTCAGAAAAGCACTTAAAGACTTAATGTTATCTTCATAAGTCCCTTTGAACTCTCCTCCTCTTATTCAAGTCATAAGACGAGTCACACAGTATACTAGCATTAGCAAATAAGTTGCTGTGTATTGGCCTAAGCAATTCATAACACTCTTGGTGTTTTATTGCCTTGGATAATAACGGGAAGATGAGATAGTAGATGAAAAGCTGGCTTCACAATATAGAATGGAAGAAGCCACCAAAAATTCAATGGATAAAAGGCACAAAAGGCTTAAACAAGTTCATAAAAAAGATGTATCAGTTAGTTTTGAACATAGAAAAATTGCTAAACTCCACACATAATAAGGGAAATGCAAATTAAAGCTTTCAAATACCATTTTTTACCTCTCAGTTTGGCAAAAATTCAAAAGCTTGATGGTAAGTTGTTTGGAAGGTTATGGGAAAACATTTACTGTCATACATTGCCAATGGGAATGCAAAATGGTACAAACCCTATGGTGGAGAATTCAGTAATATCTATCAAAATTAAATATGCATTTACCCTTTAAATTGCCAGTCTTCTTGGCATTTCTCAACTAATTTTGGGAGAAAGGCATGCACGAATTTATTCATGGTGGCATTAGGTGTAATCACAACATACCAAAAACAACCTAAATGCCCACACTTGAAAGATTACGTGAATGAAATATGGTCAATCGAAGCTATGAAAAAATAGGAAAATAACAATTAACTAACACTGAGTAACTTCCAGATCATGTGATTAAGTGAAAAAAGCAAAGGCTTCATAGTACATATTACATTTTGTGTAAGGATGAAGGGATAATGTGTGTGTGTGTGTGTGTGTGTGTGTGTATCCTCTTATTTTTGCAAAAACAGACACAGGAAAAATAAACCACAAACTAATTAAATTGGCATCTACAGCAGATGGGTGGTGATGATGTAAAAGTAAAAGAGAAGAGAGTGAGATTTCTCAGAGTATCCCGTTTGTATATAGCTTTGGATTTCAAACCATGTTAATGTTTTGCATATTCAAAAAATAAAACTTAATTAGCAAGAGTAACAAAAGCTACAATTAAATACTAAGATAAGCAAATTGATTTAATTATTAATCATATTGATAACAAAACCACACACACGAAGAATTAATCCAAGCAACATTTGAACATAGTACTGTGACTATCCTCACTGGGATATATTCTAAGGACATAAAGAACTGTAAAGACACTGCACTGACCCTGGGTGACAGAGCAAGACCTGGTCTGAAAAAAAAATTGAAGACAAACATTTTACAAACACCATCATAATAATTGCTTCAATCAACAATATTAAAAATCATCAGTGAACAAAGGCTTGAAGAACAAGACATTCACATAGTCTAAAAGTATCATGTGAAAAATTAGTTACTAATTACAAAGAAGAGAGGTAACTCGACAAGAAAAATCTACTGGACACTGCATTAACCAAGTGATCTAAATTGTAACTACCAATAAGGGAATAAACTTACTTTGTTTTGTGATGCACTAAGGAGGACAAAACATCAACTATGTGGTATTTCTGTCACATTTAACCTAAACCCAATCATGAAAAAACAATGAGACTAATCCAAATTGATAGATGTTATGCCAAACAGCTGACCTGGACTCCTCAAAAATATCGGGTTCATGAAAAAAAAGAGAAAATGGCTGGGCACGGTGACTCACACTTGTAATCCCAGGATTTTGGGAGGCTGAGACAAGAGGCTCTGTTGAGCCCAGGAGTTCAAGAGTAGCCTGAGCAACATAGTGAGACCATGTTTCTACAAAAAGTGAAAAAATTAGTCAGGCATGGTGGCTTGTGCCTGTGGTCCCAGCTACTAGGGAGGCCGAGGCAGGAAGATTGCTTGAGCACAGGAAGTTGAGGCTGCAGTGAGCCATGATCGCATCACTGCACTCCAGCCTGGGTGACAGAGTGAGACCCTGTCTCAAAAAGGAAAAGGGGGGGGGGGAGAGAGAGAGATAGATAGAGAGAGAGAGAGAGAGAGAGAGAGAGAGAGAGAGAGAGAGGGAATGGCTGGAAAGTTATTGCAGATTAAAGAGGTTAAGTATGATAAACAACTGCACTTCATGATCTGTGATCGGATAATGGATTAAGAAATAAAGACCTATAAAAGACATTGCTGGGACAATTGAGAAAGTACAGGTATGGACTGTATATTAGATAATAGTATCATATCAATGTTAAACTTTCTGAATGTGAAAATTGCATTGTGATTATGTAGGAGAATGCCTTTGTTCTTAGAAGATACATGATGAAGAATTTGGGAGTGAATTTTCATGAAATACAGTATTCAACTTGCAAAGTAAGCACTAAATACATATGCAGGGGGAGAAAAAGACATATATAGAGGGAATGGGAATGCAAGAAAGACAGGAAGCATAAATGTGGAATCATTTTACATTAATAATTGATAAATCTAAGTGAAGAGTATGTGGTAGGTTATTATATTATCTTTGCAACCTTTGTGTAGGCTCAAAATTTTTCAAAATAAAAAGTGGCAGGAAAACATAGGTAGGAGATATATGTATTTTGCTGATTAGCCTCACTACCAAATGGTATATTACAATTAAAGCAAAGCTCAGGCTGCATTCTGCCCCACTTAAAGACATTAACAATCACACAAAAAAAAATGTCATACAACTTGTTCTTCTATGTTCTTTGAAGTCCTTATCAACTATTTCCTTGGACACTGGCACTTTGCATGAAAGGCTTACTTGGAAATGGGTGCACGAACATACTGATGGCACAAACAGTAAGTCTTCTAATCACATCAGACAATAAGTATTAGGTAGGGGGCTGTGGGTGAAGGATTGGCATTAGTTCAAATATTATCTTGGACATGGTAGAGGATGGAAGGTGGAAAAGGAAAGAGGCATGAGAAATTATCTAACGTGTACAATGTACAGTATTCGGGTGATGGTTACACTAATAGCCTGGATGTCACCAGTATGCAATATATCCATTTAACAAAACTGCACTTGTACCCCTTAAATTTATATAAAAAAGTAAATAAAGCCAGGGTCTTAGATGTAAGTAGTTTGAAGTTGTTAGTTGGCTGAGCTCACCAGATCCTCAAAGACAAAGTGGAGGTTCCAGTACAACAACCACAAAATTTGAACTATTTTAATTTCACCAATGAAAAATTATTTTGTATACTAATTAAAAAACTCTATTTTGTACACTTACATAGAAATATTGAAGAACTGGAGCATGTCCTTGGAATGATAACTACTCACCATAGGAATGTGGATCCCTGAATCTAGGTGAAGGGTATGTGGTAGTTTATTATACTTCAAATGTTAACTAACTGTACCTTGGTTATAAATTAATATTGACCATGCCTATGTCTTTATCACATTGTATTAATATATACCAAAATGTTTTAAAAGAAATTACAGACCAATTAATGTAGGCTCAATGTCTTTCTTTCTGCAAATAATTATATTTTTAAGTGTGATATTTGCTGACCTTGGTTGTTCATTTATTCATGAATTTATTCATTTATTTATTCATGAATTCATGGATTCACTCAGTCATTATTTAAGACATTTATTCAGTGGTTATTATGTACTAAATATTGTGCTATGTTTTAAAGAGGATACAGATGGAGATCAGACATAGTGCTTGCTATCAAACTAATGGCAGAGACTAAGATGTTGATATGGTTTGGCTGTATCTCCACCCAAATCTCATCTTGAATTGTAGCTCCCATAATTCCCACGTGTCATGGGAGGGTCCTGGTGGGAGGTAATTGAATTATGGGGGTGGGTTTTTCCCATACTGTTCTCGTGATAGTGAATAAATCTCATAAGATCTGATGGTTTTATAAAGAGGAGTTCCCCTGCACATGCTTTTTTTGCCTGCTGCCATGTAAGACGTGACTTTGCCTTCCACCATGATTGTGAGGCCTCCCCAGTCATATGGAACTGTGAGTCAATTAAACCTCTTTCCTTTATAAATTACCCAGTCTTGGGTATGTGTTTATTAACAGTGTGAGAATGGACTAATACAGATGTGTAATGTGCTAAGCCCTAGCCCTAGGAAGAGTCAGGGACGGTTTCACAGAAAATGTGAGCTTTGCTCTGGTTCTTCAAGGATAGGAAGACAGGCAACAGGTGGATAAGGTGAGGAAAGCATACCAGGAAAAGGAAAGTTGATGTGCAAAGGCACATTGACAAAAATAAAGGGTGTGGCAAATTCAAAGAATGGTGAATAGTTTGATGTGGTTGGAAGATACGCTGCATGAAAAAAGCAGGTTAGAAAAATAAATTGGGGTCAAATTGTGATGTCCCTTTTTGTGTCATCTTAAATCATTTGATGCCTTCCTCAAACAAATATTTTCAAACTTGCCTGTTTATAAAAATCATCCGGTATTTCTAGAAAATGCAGATTCCTGTGACCTGCCCGCGAAAATTATGCCTAGGAAGTCTGGAATGAGACTTTGGCAAGTGCTACTTTTAACTGGCTCCCCACACATGCGGAGACTCATAATAGGGCAAGTTTGGGAATTTTATCCTATCTTTTTCTGCCTGATATACTGGGCTTCCACAAGATATCTGACTTGAGAAACAAACATGAGTCCTCTGATTTTTATATTATTATATTTTAATTTTGCTTCTGAAATCAGTGCTTTAGACATTAGAAGAGGAGTGCAACATACAAATTCATGTTTCAGAAATATATTTGGCAACAGTGTGAAGGATATACTGGATATGGAAAAGTAGAGGCAAAGAGCCATCTTAAGAGCCCTCTATAATAGATTAGGTAGAACATAATGAGGTCTTCAGGTCACATCTTAGCAGTGGAGGAGAGGGTGGGAGGATAGATTTAGAGTATATTTAGAAGGTAGAATGGATAGGACTAGTTTTGATTGTAGTGAGGTGTGAGTGAGAGGGAGATTTTGAGATGACTCCTAGGATTTTAGTTGAGTAATCAGGTGGATGGTGAATCCATTAACTGTGAGAAAAGGAAAATAGGGCGAAGTGGCAATTTCGGTATGACAGCTTAATTTGAAGTGACTCCAGTACATGTAAGTAAAGTTTTCCCATAGAAAGTTGAAAATAAAGGTCTGGAACTCAGGAAAGAGGGGCTGAAAAGAAACAAATTTATTAGTCATTCATTTCTAGGACAAATGTTCTTAATCTAATATTGAGAGTATATAAAAAAACCTCTGCAAATGTATGCAAAATTGTGTGCATGCGTGTGTGTGTGTATGTGTGTATATATATATATATATATATATATATATATATATGATCTAGCTCTCTTTATAGTTACATAATCTGATAAAAAATCATGAAAATCAGATAAAAATGTGTGTGTATGCATTTTTCTGGGGAGATGGATCTAGATTTCATCAGATTTTTAAAAAATTCCTGGCCTCCAAACAAATGTGAACTGATCTAGTTAGTGTTCATAAATTTGCATAAAGTTGAGCATTGTTTGGACTTGGATTATTTTGTCCTTGCTTTGGAGTGTGAGAACTCACTTGGACTTTCCCCCAGAATGTAATATCTATTTGTAATATTACACAAGTAAGAAATAATGATTTTTTTGTATAAAAGTAACATTATTAGTAGTATAGCTAACCTAGGGATTTCTTCCTATGTGTCTTGAATTTCTGAGACTACTTGGAAGAAAATTTAAGGATAAACTTATTTGACTGGTTCCTCAAATTAAAGAAAAACTCAGTATTGTAATTTAGTAATTAGTCTTTAAAGAGGTGTGTTTAGAGAGGGCTTAGCGTAACTTAGAAAAGAGTAGAAGAGCTTGCTTTATTCCATACTTTAACCTATGAATAAAAATGCATCTCTGAAAACAGGTGATTTCCATCTTCCTTTATTGAAGAGACTTTCTTTTTTGGGAAGTTTTTATTCTTTAATCTGTTTGTTATTATTATTATTATCATTATTCTTTGAGACAGGGTCTCACTCTGTTGCCCAGGCTGGAGTGCAGTGGCACAATCTTGGCTCATTACATCCTCGACATCCCTGGGCTCAGGTGAATCTGTTTGTTACTAAAATTGCTATTTTTACCTTCATTGTAAGTTCACTGCAAGCAATATTTTATAATAAGCTTAAATACATTTAAAACTTAATATTTATATTTAATAGTAGAAAGCAGGAATATAATACAATTTCCAGTCTTCAGATTTTGAAGAGAGTTCCAGTTTCTGTTAATATGGAGTAAGCACACCTCACTCTGACTCCCCCCACTGAATGCAACTAAAATCCCTGGGCAGATTGAGTGGTGCAGCTATATGGGGCTCCAGATCTGAAAAGTAAATGGCAGCAAAAATATTGGGGTAAGAAGTAGGAACAGGAATAATAAACAATCTGGCACTGAGTTACCAATTTTTTTTTTTCATTTCTATATGTCCTGATTTGGACTCATGCAGTCTGTGTCCTGGAACTGCATCAACTGCAGACAGAAAGAAGTCCAAGGGAAGCCATCTCTTTCTAGTCTAAGTTGGGAAGGAGAATGCCTAAGGTACAGAAAGAGTGGAGTGTATTATTTGTAGTTTTCCCTCCAGGCCTGGCCTGTAAGCAAGTTTCATTCCTGGTGCTGCAACACTATGGTAGTGGTGCAGCAGCAGGCAGGCAGACACCTAAAATTCTGTGGAAGGAAGATCTTCTTGCCAGAAGAATGGTGGCCCAAAGAGTATGGGGGGAAAGTCTGTTGCTTACTTTCTCTTTTTACTTTCCTATCACTTGGCCCCAGAGACAGAGACAGATGCAGGGAATTTGTGAGAAAGCAGAGAAAAAGAAAACCCTGGCTCTCTAGTGAGATAACCAAAAAACACGGCTTTGTCAGATGGAGAACATGGGAGAGTCAAGGGAGAAGGCGAAGCACAAGAATGGGATCCCATAAAGTTGCCAATCAATTCTAGACTCATATCCAAATTGTGTACACATTGATATAATAATACACAGCATACCAAAGGTCTCAGACTGACCCCTGGGTGGTGCACACAGTGGAAAGATCTAAATAGTACTGCTAAAGCTTTCAAAACTGAAAGCTTTATATTGGAACCCCAGCGAAGTGAAGGCAAGTTGAAACATGGGGACTGCATATAACTGGCTCAATTGTTTAAAAAAAGCTTCATAGAATTTATTTATATACCTCAAAACTTAAAATATCAACAATGCCCAAAATACAATCTAAGATTACTAAATATACAAAGATTATGAAATTCTGACAAATTCTCCAGGGAAAACACAATAAACAGACATCGGCTCTGAGATGAATCAAATGTTGCAATTATTCAACACTATAGCAGCTATTACAACCATACTCCATAAAGTAAGTGCAAATAGTCTTAAGAGGGATGGAAAGACAGAAAGTCTCAAAAGAGAAACAAAAGACAAAAAAATCAAATGTATCTTTTAGAACTGAAAAATACAGCAAGAAAAATAAAAATATTACCAAACAAGGTCAATAGCAAAACAAACAAACAAACAAACAAAACAGAAATAGCCACCTATTCCTCCATGTAATGGTGGGATCTGAAAAACTTCTCCTCTATAAAGGCAATGAAGGCACAAGCAAAGATTATCAAAATTAACTATTTCAGAAATCTGAAAATTAGAGAAAGATTTGCATCCATCTAAGGTGTATTTATAGAAGAAAAATGAGGGTATCTTGGTAAGAATAATTTTGTGCCATTTTAACATGCCCCTTTTCAACCTGCTTCTCCCCAGTTCTATGGTAGCCTTGAAAACCAACAGCCTTGCAATTATGGTAGCTATGACAATCAGTGGCCTAGAAACCACTGGAGAGGGGAGTATTGAGTTTGGTGCTCCCCAACAGGCCCCATTCCTAGAGAACTGTTATTATTTGACCTGTGAGGTAGTTCCCTCATGCTGTCACTCACAGGAGTTGTATTTATGTTACCTAACTCAAAGATTTCTCAGTGCAAACAGCCCTTTCCCTGAAAGCATATGTTGAAAAGCAATCAGAGACAATTGTCTAACATCACAGCTACGTGACATGGTGATAATATGGCAAACAAGAACAGATTCTAAAAACTTTAAAGACCAGGGGTGGTGGCTCACGCCTGTAATCCCAACACTCTGGGAGGCCAAGGCAGGCCGATCTCTTGAGGTCAGGAGTTTGAGACCAGCCTGGCCAACATGGTGAAGCCCTGCCTCTACTAAACATACAAAAAATTAGCCGGGCATGGTGGTGTGCGCCTGTAGTCCCAGCTACTTGGGAGGCTGAGGCAGGAGAATCACTTGAACCTAGGAGGCAGAGGTTACAGTGAGCCAAGATCGCGTCACTGTACTCCAGCCTGGGCAACAGAGTGAGACTCTCTCTCTCAAGAAACAAACAAACAAACAAAAACTTTAAAACATGGGGAATGAAATGTAGGGGGCTTCGAAAAATTCCAAAATATTCTTAGGACCCTAGAAGACCATGCATATATGTTGGGCTGTGCACATGTTCAAGGAAGACCTGAAAAGGCCCAAATCTCTCACCTCTGACTGACCTGGAGGCTCTTTGCAAGCAGGAAGTGAAAGTTAAGGGGAGGAGGCAAGATTCCTGCCTTGGAATTAGAAAGATGCTCCAACACACATACACAGAACCACTTAGCAATTAGTGAGAGATAGATACACTGGTTCTAACCATTTAAGGAAATATCTGTCCAATCACTAGATAGCTATGAAAAAAACTAAGCAAGGATTCCAGTAGCTACTCGAGACAAAAACATAAACTTTACAGAGTTAGTCTAGGAAAGTCACTAAAAAAAAAAAAAAAAAAAAACCCACAAACAAAAAACAAAGCTAAAAACAGACATCAAAAACAACAAACCCTGGAAGGGAGGGATGTGAATTACAGAATTGCTATATTATATTATTTAATATATGCAATTTCAACAACAAAAAATTCACAAGACATGTAAAGGACAGGAAAATAAGACTCAGACACAAGGGGAAAAGCATAATATATATTAACTGTCTCTGAGGAGACCCAGAAGTTTTACTGACTAGGCAAACTTTAAATCAGCTTTAAACATATTCAAAGAACTAAAGGGCAGCACTTGTAAAGAACTAAATAGGTGCATGAGAAGGGTAACTGACCAAAGAGAGTATATCAATAAAGAAATACAAGTTATAAAAAATGAGCCAAATGGAAATTATGGAGTCAAAAATTATAATAACTGAAATGAAAAATGCACCAGAGGGGCTCAAGAGTAGATCTGAGTTTACAGAAGAAAGAATCAATGAACTCAAAGACATTGACCGAGAATACCCACACAGAAGAAAAGGAGGGAAAAAGGATGAAGAAAAATGAATAGAGCCCTAAAGAACTGTTGGGACACCATTAAGCATATTGTCACCCACATAATGGGAAGAGAGGAAAGAAAGGAGGGGAAGAAAAATATTTCAAGGCCGCCAATTTTCCCAAATTTGATGGAAATCATTAATCTGCACAACTAACCTCAGTGAACTTACATATTTGAATGTTTTCATCATGAACTTGTGTTGAACTTTGCCAAATGCTTTTTCTACATCTATTGAGATAATCATGTGATTTTTGTATTTTTAAAAATGCGATGCATTAAGATGATTCACATTTTACATGTTAAATCAAATGTACATACATTTCTGTTTTTAATTTTTTAATTTTTAATTTTTGTGGGTACACAGAACAGATAAAGTCAATGTGGTACACATACACAGTGCAGTACTACTCAGCCACAAAATATAATGCTATCCAATCATTTGCAACAACATGGATGGAACTGGAGATCATTATGTTAAGTGAAATAAGCCAGACACAGAAAGACAAACATTGCATGTTCTCATTTATTGTGGGATCTAAAAATCAAAGCAATTGAACTCATGAACATAAAGAGTAGAAGCATGGTTACCAGAGGCTGGGAAGGGTAGTCAGTGGCTGGGAGGAAAGGTGGGGATGGTTAATGTTACAAAAAGAAATAGAATGAATAAGACCTAGAATTTGAGTGCAGGGTGTCTATAGTCAATAAGTCTGCATTTCTAAGATAAATTCCACTTGATCATGGACTCGCACTGTTCTTACCAAGATTTAGTAGATTTTTTAAATTGACATTTTTTTCTACTTCCTGTATTACCTTAAGACAATTTCCATAGACTTTAAGTGGTTATTGTTTTTAAAAAATAATTTTTAAAGTTATGAATGTCTTGCTGGGAGGAAAGACTGTAGGGCTCCTTATGCACCATTTTGTCTCAATTGATTTCAATTCAATGGAGAAAGAAGAGCCTTTATCCACAAATGGTGTTGGAAAAATTGAACATCCATATGCAAATAAAGTGAACCTCAAGCTATACCTCACATCTTACACAAAAATTAACTGGAAATGGATCATAGATATAAATGTAAAACAAAAAACTCCAAACACTGTTAAAAGAAACTGTGCAAGAAAATATTTATGACTTTGGGTTAGGTAGAGTTCTTAAATATGGCCGCAAAAGCATGATCCATTATAAAATGATAAATTAGACTTCATCAAAACTTAACTTTTTTTCCTGCAAAAAGACACTTTTAAGAGGTTGAAATGACAAGCCAGTGCCTGAAAGAAAATATTTGTGAACCTCATATCAAACAAAGGACTTTTATCTGGAATATATAAAGAACTCTCAACAGTCAATGTTTAGAAAACAAATCAACCAATAAAACAATGAAGATGATTTAAACAGATATCTCACTAATAAGCTATATGGATGACAAGGAAGCACATGAAAGGAAGTTCAATGTAATTAGTCCTCAGGGAAATGCAAATTAAATCCAAAATGTGATATCACTACACGCTTATCAGAATGGAAAAAAAAAACTGAAAATACTTAATGCTTGTGAAGATGCAGAGCAACTAGAAGACTCCTACATTGCTGGTAGGAATGCAAAATGGTACAGCCACTCTGGAAAGGGACTTCTTGTAAACTGAAATGCACAATTACCGAGTGATACAGAAATGGTACTCTTTTTACATTAGAGAAACGAAAACTTGTGTTTACATAAACCATGTATAGGTGTTGATGAGAGTGGGAAGAATTTGGAGCTTTCATACACTGATGGTAGGAATGTAAGGGGGGCAGCCACTTTGGAAAATAGTATGACAGTTTCCCAAAATTTTAAAGAATTATCACTTTGTCCAACAATCCACTCCTAAGTATAAAACCAAGATAAATGAAAATATGTCCATATAAAAACTTGTACACAAATGTCCATAGTAGCTTGATACATAATCAACAAACTAGGAACAACACTGAAGTCCTTTAAAAAGTAAACAGAATGGAGAAACAAGCAGCAGTATGGCAATTAAAAGGTCTGAACTATTGATCTATAAAACAACATGAATAAATCTCAAAGATATTATGCTGAGAGAACCCAGTTTCAAAGGGTTATATATTTTGTATGAATCCATTTATATAACATTTTAGAAAAGGCAAAACTATAGTAACAGAAAGCAGATCAAGGATTTCCGGGGTTTAAGGGCGGGAAAAGGCTTTGGTTACAAAGGGGCAGCATAAGGGAAGGTTTTGAGGTGATGGAACTATCTCGTATAGCAATTGTTACGATGATTATAAAATACATTCTTATATTAAATTCAGAACTATACAACAAAAGTTGTTCTATAGTATAATTTTTTAATGTTTTAAGCAATAATTCTAAATTTTAACTGGTGTATTAAGCACATTGGAGGGAAAAATTCTATAAATCTGAATTATACTAATTGATAATATAATTGATTGCTCCAATAAAACTAATGTTTCCAGTACCCTGAAATATCATACATTAAACATGCAAACAGTATTTTTCTATAATTGTACATGATCCCAAGAGGATTATTTCAGATTGTATCGTTGCTTTCTGTTTTGTAGTTCTTATGCAGTAAAGTTGAAACTGAAGACATTCCCATTGACATCTGATAATAGGGTTTTCATAAGCAGTCATGCTCACTTTAAACAAGCGTGCTATGGAAAAGTATCACAAGTACAAAGCCAACTAATATGAACTTTAAGTTAAGTAAATAATTTTTTAAGCTAAATTAGTGAAAAACACAAAGCAGCTGCAGAAGAAGTGGCTGGAGATGTTTTAAAGTGGGGAGAAGACTTTCTCATTCTAGAGAAGTGATTCTCAAGGTGGAAGGGCTGTAAGAGGAAGAGAAGAGAGATGAGGGAGACATATCAGAATCTTGGGGTTGGGGACATGTTCACTTTGAAAACACAGAGCAAGTTCTAAATTATCTTTGTTTTATTATAAATTTGAAATTTTCAAATAAAACTAAGTATAGGTATGAGATTTTCTACATGGATTCTAGGACATGCCTTTGGTAAACAGATTCAGCTCCATTATCTCTCATTCTGAACAGTAGTAAAATATCAAAGGTCAGCCCCAAGGTGTTACAAAGTCCATGGCAATAACAAAGATTTGCTCAGCATGCTCTATTTTTCGAGGTAGTTAACAATTTTAAAAAAAATTATCAACGAGGAATGAGAAAAGAAAGATAATTTTCATTGGCATAAATTCAGTTAAATAGAAGTTACCTTCTTCAGCATTTTTAATGGAGTTTTCACTCTGATAATATGAATGTAGTGACATTCAAACATTATGTTGCCAGAGAATCAAGATGATGCGGGGGGTGTAGTGGCCATAAAATGCAGATCTCAGGCCCTGTCCCCATTAATTCTTATTTTGCAGTTCTGAGATGGGGTCTGTGAGGAGGGTCTAGGAAACTGATCATTTTAAACGATTCCTCTATGATTCTTATGTAGATGGCTAGCAGACCACAATTTTAGAAACACACATTTAGAGGGTAGTTGCTCATTTTATAAGATGATTGTTACTTGTAGCATATGTTTATTAGATTCCTTTAAAGAACAAACTTTCTTTTGCAATTTTGAAATTAATTGTATGTATTAATTATATTAATTAATTAATTATATGTATTGCCCCTACATATACATGTTTGTCTTCCCAAATAAAAGTCCAATTCAGTACAGCTTTTGAGGTTGTATGAATATTATTTTGTATCCATTGAGCTTACTTGTGACTTTGGAGCCCTTAACAAAATATAAACCTCCATTCTTAATTATAAAACCCTATTGATATAATTACCCCACCTTCATCATTTTAACCTGTAGTTTAGCATTCTAGCCTTCGTGTCAATTATTCTTTGTTGTTTTATAATTACAAAAATTTTCTATTATAATAAATTAATTTAATTAATTATTGCTGTTTAACAAAATACAATAAATTCAGAGGCTGGGAAGGGTAGTGGGAAAGTGGAGGGGAGATGGGGATGGTTACTGGGTACAAAAAGTAGTTAGAAAGAATAAATGAGACCTAGTATTTGATAGCACAACAGGGTGGCCATAATCAATAATAACAATTGTACATTTAAAAATAACAAAAAGAGTACAATTGGATTGTTAGTAACAAAAAGGATAAATGCTTGAGGGGATGGATACCCCATTCTCCATGATGTGATTTTTATGCACTGCATGCCTGTATAAAAACATTTCATGCGCCCCATAAATATATACACCATGTACCCACAAAAGTTAAAACAATAAACTGAGTGTGAGCACAAATAAGTTCTGTCAACGGGCAAAATTTCAACAAATTTAGTTTAAAGATCTAATTGGCTTTTACTTGTGATTCTAGAATAAGGCAACACCTCAGTCTATAAAATGAAATGTGTATTCCGAGGGACTGAGTAGAGGAGGTTGGTTTCATAGGAAGAAAGTAGCTGAAAAAAGCAAAAACAGAATAAAAAAACAGATCGTTTCTAAGTTACTTTCCTTATGGATTTAAAAATAGGGGTCTTTCTTTTTACGCTGACTCAGGTTAACTGGAATCTCCTGGCTTTTTCTTTAAAAAAAAAAACAAGAAAAACAAAAACAAAAACAAAAAACACTAGCCCATTTCAAAGTTTAGTTTGATTACATGGCACTCAGCACAAGTGACTTCATTCTGATTTTGTCTGGTCTGCTTGGGCCTAGTGCAAGAGCCCAGTCCAAAACAATGACCTCCCATAAAATTTAGCAGTTCTATCTTGACATTTGCCCAGCTGTGTGAAATCAGTTAAGTCACAGATCTTTTCTGGTGTCCGGTTTTTATATGTTTGTATATTGGGATAGATGACTTTTGGCATCTTTTCTATCTATAAAATTCTCATTCTTTAATTTGTTTTGGAAAAGATTAAACTGTCTCTTCAAACGTTTTATTCAAAGTGTTATTGCTTAACTGTAAACAAGGTACAGTATTTACTAAAAAAATTATTCTTTTTGAACTCTCCGAGATGATAATCTACAGTCTAAAATAGCCAAAACAAAATAAGAATTCAAAACCTATAAATCATATAAAATCTGATACATACAAATTTATATAAAAGTTCCATTTCCCTCATCTTGTAAAGCTTATTTGCTGCCCTTAACAAATCTTTTTAAGAATCAACCAAGTGAGAAACAATATTATATTGGTATAAGTCTGCCCCAAGGCTGAACCATTTATTAATTTTCTTTACAATAAATAACAAAAATTCCTTCTGTTGTCAGCAGAACTCATATTCAAACACAGGGTTTGAGCTGTGGGGTTAGAGCTGTCAATTATGCTTCCAGGAAATTATTATGATCTTGAAGTTCTGGTAAACTGTTTCCTGAAGATATTGCCTCAAAGTGTTGATGTAGTTACCAAGGCAAGAAAAATGTTGACTATTTTCAGGAAATTTTGTAGAAACAAAATGTATTTTCCTTTTGAGTCTATAAACTCATCAAGAATATAGTTTAAAATTCTGGTCAACATATCTACCAATGTCAGAGTTAGAGAAGATCCAGGAAAGAACCTTTAAAATGACAGAGGGTCTGGAGAGACATCCATTACAGTTAGACTAAAACAAATGTGACTCTTCCAAGCTGATGGCTGAGAGGAGAAACACAAATTTTTGAAATGAATAAAATGATGAGATCTCTCAGAAGTGAGGAATAATTCTTGGAGCATGAAAGAAGTAAAAATAATAGCCAGCATTTATGGACTACTTGCTGTGTGTCAGATAGTTTTCTAACGATTTATTTTCTTATTTAATCTTCACAAGAATCTTAGGAGGTAGATTCTATTATTATAACTACTTTAAAGATAAAGGACCTAAAGCACAGACATGCTTAAGTAAATTGTTTGAGGTCACATAACAAGCTGCAAAGCCAGAATGTAACCTAAAAGTTCTGTTTCCAGAAGGGGTGTGTTGCAGCACTATATTATGTTGCATATTACTAATAGATACAAATAAATATTATGTTACCCATTATTTATATATTCACTCAACAAAAATTTTGAACTTATACTGTGTACTGGGAACTGTGCTTGGTGCTAGGGATATAGAGATGAACAAACTAAATCTAGAGGAGGAGACAAATAAATCAGTGAAAATTTTCATGATGGCTTGATACAGTCAGTGGAGGAAAGGGATGGGACAGCTTGTTTCTTAAGCTGAAAATTATTAGTTCTCTAAAACTGGGATAAAATGTGCCTACGTGGAGAAGGAAGAGTGGTAGGAAAAATGATTAGAGAGATAACCATTATCATAAGGAGTAGTATGAGAGTTTAATAAATGTGGACATTATCTTATTGATTATAGGGGACCGATGAGGAGGAGTTTAAGCAGGGAAGTTACATGATCATATTTGTATTTTAGAATGATTACTCTCACTGCTGATGCATGGAGAAAAGTTTGGAGGGGGACCAAGGGGAAGTAGGAAAAGTAGTAAGGAAGACGTTAATGTTGTCTAACAAGAGATAATAGTGGCCGTTAATAAGACAGGGGCAATAAGAATGAAGAGGAAGGTAGATGAATAAAAAACATAGAAAAGGTAAAATTCACAGGGCTTAATTAAGTGGATGTGGTTGACATAATGCTGTAGTGCTTGGTTGGCATTAGGCTTCAAAAGAAGGAGAACAGGTAAAGAGGGAAGGGGCGTGTGTATGTGTGTGTGTCTGTGTGTGTTGTGGGTAAGGTGGAAAAATAAAGCAATCACTTTGTAACATGAGGTCTCAGTTACATGAGCTAAGCAGGTCTATATGCAAGTGTGGATTGCAGAAGAGATTTTTGCTACAGATACAGCTTTTGGTGCCATCAGCATATGAATGAGTGTGGTTGAGTTTCCTCAAGAAGAATGCATACAGGATATTGTCAAAACCCTTACCCTTAAGACAGTGGTTCACAAACTTAACTGAGTCTCAGAATCATCCTGAGATCAGAAAAAAAAAAGTGGATTCCCACAACTTGAGATCCTGATTTAGTCCATCTGATGTAGGACCCAGGAATCTTCACTTTAACTGATATCTTAAATGATTCTAATGCAAGTGAATTGCAAAATACAATTCGAGGAACACTAAATAAAAAGCTTAACGTGTAAAGGAATAAAGAATCATTAAGTATACTAAATGAGAGATAGTTTGCTTATTTACAGTCATATTGTTCTTATGTCCATTCTTTGGAAAACCCATGGAAGTGCTATTATAAATGACTTACATTTAGGATTCCAGCTAACCCTTCAAAAGAAAAAGTAATTCGTATTGATGTTGCAGAATTAATTCCTGTGATCATTCTTTGATACTAAGTAATGAAATTCAGAAGTAATCATTGTTAGGGCAAAGAAGCTGTAGAAAAGTCTGTTTGAATTTAAATTGCAGTTTTCTTACATTGCACCATTACAGCACCAACAAAACCATCTTTCCGTCTACTGATAAAAGTACTTTATAGATCTACTTCCAGGTGGTTCTGAATTTTTTAAAACCGAAGTCAAATTTGAACAAAGCCACCTTACAAGAATTTGTTTTTTAACTTTGATGCACATTGTCATTAACCAAACATATGTTATATTATCCCTACTTTATTGACAAAATCAAGTATATGATAAGAAGGTATCAAAAAATATTACTGATCCAATTTACTCCAGCACCACTTGACAATCTTGGAAAACATGAGAAACAAGGAACATTAATTGCTGCTCACACACAGTGACTTATTATTTCTGTTGTACTTGAAGTTCTAAATGTACAACATAGAAATATGGCAACAGGTAAAAATAAGCCTAATATTTATTTTAAATCTGATTAATTACCTCATTAGATTATATATTATAGCATTTGTTGTAGGCAGACTTAGAAGCTCACAAAAGATATATATTTAGTGCATTATTTTGCCTCATTTTAAAATTTGTCATTAGAAACAGTTTATTTTGCTTTATGAATGTGAAATTGATGTATATTAATACTTCTTGGATTTATCTCTAAGTCATATTTTGTGACTAATACTTTATAATGGAAGCTCTTACAAAGATCTTAACAGAAAACACTATTTTGAATTAAGAAAATGCATAGATGATTACAAAGAAAGATACCACGTTGAAATTTCTTCCTTTTTAATAATTTGCCAGACTAAGAATATAATCATTTACTGCTCAAGTGGGGCTTATCCAATATCATTAAGGTGAATATTTGCAATAAAATCTAGATGGAGAAAAACAACAAGTGTGTGTTGAAGCAATATGCTACGTGTCAGGATGTTTAGTCATTTTCCTTATAAAGTTAACCACTTTTAAATGCAAACTTTCTTAAGAACGCTTAAAAAGAAACTTGCCGTTTGAACAAACTAAAAGCCTAAATAATCATGGTACTTGACGGAAGCTTAGAAAACTAACTGAATGATTTAATCATTTTATTTCAGTTAATTATTACAAAAGAATAAATAAACTAAGGAGTGGGAATCTGATTGACAGATGAGAATGGGACAGAGTTGAAAAGGAATTGAGTTGATGGTGAGGCACAGAGTCCTATGTTCCCACAGTAACCTTCATTGTGTTCGTTATAGTAACATTTGTGTTCATTATAGTAACTTCTGTTGGTTTTTGGATTCTCTTGTTTTCCAGGACTTGGAAGAAGAAGTACAAACAGCCATTCAACAGGATAAACAGAAATGTGTAACCTAGGAAACCCCAAAATGTTCCAGTGGGGCCTGGAATCAGTTGGACAGCAACACTGATAAGCTAAAGGAGAAGAGAAATGTTTATGTTCTAAGTGACAAAAAATAGTTTACATAGCATGCACATAGGTGAGCACTGACAGGCATAAAAATATGTATATGCGCCCCCAAGAGGACTTGTAAAACAGCATATACATGAGTGAAAATACTTTAACAGAGCACTTCCTGATAGATTAAAAAAATACACAAGGACAGATAAGAAGGGCAATATAGCAAAGATTTCCTCTTGCCTTTTACAGGTCAAAACCTCACCCAGCAACCTTTCAGATTATGCATTTCCATAAAAGATAATGGCAATTATATTTATAATCTGTTGTTTCACAATATGTTTCGAAGTCAAGTTTATCCATATGTAGTCCTTAAAATGTATTACCAATTTAATAGACTAAAAAATTCAAGACATTTTTTAGAAGAATAGCATGGATGGTAAAATATAGGGAAGTCTGATTCACTATGTTTAATTTAAACATTATCACAGAAAGAAGAAACAAGTAATAATGTTGAGTGACACTAAAAACCTATTTGATAAAATTCCAAATCAATTCTTAGTTAAAAGCAGTTAAATTTTTCACAGATTAGACGGGATCATTCTTGACATAAAAAAACATATATTCTAAACATAAAATAAACAATAACTTATATAAGAAGGACTACAACCACTCCCATTAAGTAAGAGAAGAGAAAAGATAATGGGATATGATGGCATTTTGGTTATTAGATATTAATATGTAATATGTTGGAGATTCTTGCCAACATATTAAGATTAAATAAATAAATAAGAAGTATAACTATCAATTATCATTAGTTGCAGATAATGTGACTGCATACCAGGAAAACACACGTAGAAATAAAAGAGCCATTACATTTAATTTGTTGAAGTACTGTGTATAAATTAAATATGAAAGGTCAACAGCTTTCCCATATATCAGAAATAAAAGTTATAAAATATAACAAATAAAAATAATCTCCTTCACTTTAAATACACACACATACACACACAGAGGACAGTTCTGAGATATTAACCTATAATGTGCTAGACTCATAACAAAGACCCAACAATATTACTAATGGATGTACAAATTTGAAATAATTAAGTATATTTGAAACTATAAATGACAAGTGTCAGGAAATGTTTTTAAGAATAATACAAATTAGTGACAGGCATTCAAAACATACCATAAAAGGGAAGGAAACACTTAAAATCATGTTGTTGCAAGAACGAAATTCTGGAATGGACTAGAAAGGCCCCAAACAGAATCGAATACATGAAAGTTTGTAATATATGCTAAAAGTAGCTTAAAATCAGTGGGGAAAGGGAGGATCATTTAGTATGTGGTGCTGTAAAAACTAATTAAATACTTGACAAAAAGTAAAACCCTTCCTAATATGACATATCCAGACAAGTTCCATGTAGAATAAAAAGACAAAAATTTAAAGATGAAAATTGTTAAGAACAAGAAAATATTGGTGAATATTTTTATATAAAGAAGAGGGCAATGGACTTTCTAAGCATGGCTTTAAACGCAAAAACAATGAAAGAAAATGACTGATGGATTACAGTATATGAACATGCTAAGCAGCTTTGTGATGTGTGTCCAAAAAGAAAATCAGCAAGGCTCAAATGCAAATAACTAATGTTATGTATTGTACATGCAAAAAACTATTATATTATTATAAATCCAAGAGATAAAAATTAAGTCAATGGAAAAATGCCCAAAAGGCATGTATGGAAAATTTGCAAAAACAGAAAAAGAAAAAAATACAGATGACCAAAAAATGGCATAAACTTGCTTGATTTCATTGTTAATCAAATACAAATTAAAACAGACTGAATAATTGCCTTTCACCATTTTATTGGTGGAAGGATGAGGAAGTAAGTGATCTGATACACTGCTGATTCCAGTATAAATTGGTATGAACTTGCTGTGGAGCAGTTTGGCCATATGCATAAAAATTATATATGGTCATTGACTGAACAATTCTATAACTAGAAATTTACCATATATAGATAATTCCATTAAAAAAGACAACTTTACCAATGTGCAAAGATTCATGTGCAAGGATATTCAAATACAGTATTGCTTTTAGTAGAAAAT